>NC_000007.14:86749203-87052233 GCF_000001405.40 Homo sapiens | reverse complement strand
ATAGGTCCATTAAATCCCTTTCTTTTGTAAATTGCCCAGCCTTGGGTATGTCTTTATCAGCAGTGTGAAAATGGACCGACACAGGAATACAGTTTAGTTGCCTGAAATCCAGGGACCCATTTCATTGCTAAAATTCCCTAAACTGTCACCCTAGCTTACTTCCTGCTTCTGCAGGGTGTCTTAGAAACTCCTTAAATAATCACATCAAATGGACCATGAGATTCTCTCATTACCATGAAGTACTCCAGCAAGCATTTCTTAATTATCTTTTATATGTCAGGAATTATGCAAGATGCTGGTGATAAAACAGGATTCAGAGAATATTGTCATCATTCTCCAGGAGATCATAGCCTGATAGAAGACACAAATATGGAAATTAATAAAGCACCTCTTTCTGAGATTGACATTAAAATAGAAAAACATGGTAATATTAAGAGAGTATGGTTAGCCTTCTTGGTAAATGTTTTCCAATGTTTGCTACTTATGGGGGAGTGATGTTTACATTTTGGTCCAGCTGCAAAGTTGTGTCTTGTTATAGTACAAGCAGTATTGAAGGTATTTAAGAATCTAATGCAAATGTGAGCCCTGCCACTGGTTTATGTGACCTTCAACAAATTAACCCCTTTAAATCTTTTCTTGTCTGAAAATGGACAGAGTAAAACCTGTCTTATCTATGTTAGAATTGCTGTGAGATCAAGCTAATGCATTTGAAAGCATTTTGTAAATTCTAATGCAGTCGCCAATATCAGTTATTATTCTCATGTAGTGAAGAATAGTGTTTCTCAGGAGGTGCATTGAAGTATGAAAGATCTGGGATATGGGTAGGTAAATTTGTTTACTTACAAAAATATTTTATAGGAGTACTTTTTCTAACTATAAAAGTTATACGTTGTGAAACATTGTACCCAGTTGATTGTTCTGTCATCACTGAAATTTACTTGGCTTCAAGCACCCCAAACTCTCCTGGTTTTTCTCTTAATCCATTGTAATCTCTCTCAGTTTTTGCCAGTTTCTCCTGACATCTTGACATTGCCATGTTCCAGCGATTTATTCTTGGCCCTCCTGTCTTTTCTGTCATCCTTACACTCCTAGTGATGTCGGGAGTCTCTTGGCTTTAAATATCACCTATATGTGGATAGCTCCCAAATTAACACTTCCTTTGTGGACCATCCCCTGGAATCCTATCAAGCATAGCCTTGGTGTCACCACTTGTATAAGTACCTTAAATCTGACAGGTACCAAACTGAACTCCTGACATTTTCCCCAAACCTACTCCTTGTATAGTTTTCTCCATTTCATTGAATGGCAACTCCTTTCTTCTAGTTGCTCATATCTAGAACTCTGCAATCTCCACTGATGTCTTTTCTCCTACATCCTACATCCATCCTATCAGCAAATCCTCTTCCCAATAGCTGAATCAGAACTTCTCACTTCTCCTGTAATTTCTGGGCCATACTACCATTGTATCTTGCCTGGACTATCACTGTAACTTTCCATCTTGATGTCACAGTGCAGCTCAGAGATAGCATTAAAATATAAATTTAAAACTGTTATTCTTTTGTTCAACACCCTTCTAAGGCTTCATTAATACAAGACTGTATTAGGCCGTTCTCGCATTGCTGTAAAAAAAGTACCTGAGATTGGGTACTTTATAAAGAAAAGATGTTTAATTGACTCATGGTTCTGGAGGCTTTATAGGAAGCACAGTGCTGGCAGATGCTGGGCCTCTAGGGAGGCCTCAAGAAGCTTACAGTCATGGTGGAAGGCAAAGGGGGAGCAGGGACATCACATGGTAAAAGCAGGAGCAAGAGTGAGTGGAGGGGCAGGTACCACATATTTTTAGATGACCAGATCTCGATCTCCTGAGAACTCACTATTGCAAAGATAGCACCAAGCCATGAGCAATCCGCCCCCATGATCCAGACACCTCCCACCAGGCCCCATCTTCAGCATTGGGGATTAAAATTCAACATGAGATTTGGGTGGTGACAAATATCCAAACTATATCAAAGGTCCAACCTAATCTGACCTCCATGAAGCCTCTAATGTCACCTCTTATTACTCTCCCTCTTTTAGTTTATTTTGTGCTTCTATAACAGAATACCATAGATTGGGTAAGTTATAATGAACAGTAATTTATTTGCCTCCAGGTTTAGGAGGTAGGAAAGTCCAAGATCCAGGTGAGGGCCTCCTTGCTATGTCGTACCACGGTAAAAGGCCAAGGGCAAGAAAGAAAGAGAGAGAAAGAGAACAAGTGCAAGAGGGAGCCTGAACTCTATTTTATAAGGAACCTATTCCTGCAGTAATGCCATCAGCCATATATGAGGATGGAGCCCTCATGAACCAATACCTCCCATTAGGCCCCACCTCCCAACATCACCACATTTGGGATAAAGTTTCTAACATATCAACCTTCACGGACACATTCAAACCATAGAAGTCCCCATTTTTCATTTTGCATCAGCCAGTCCCAGTCTACTTGTTCTTCCTAGAATGTGTTATGCATGCTCCTTTCTCAAGGCCTCTGTACTGGATCTTTTCTGCCTGGAACTCTCTTCATTCAGGTATTTACTTGGCTTTGTCCCTCATGCACTTCAGGTTTCTACTCAATTGTCATTTTGTCAGTAAGGCTTTCCCTGGCTACCTATTTAAAATTGCAATCCCGGCCAGGCGCCTGTAATCCCAGCACTTTGGGAGGCCGAGGCTGGCGGATCACGAGGTCAGGAGATTGAGAGCATCCTAGCTAACACGGTGAAACCCCGTCTCTACAAAAAAATACAAAAAATTAGCCAGGCATGGTGGCGGGAGCCTGTGGTTCCAGCTGCTCGGGAGGCTGAGGCAGGAGAATGGCGTGAACCCGGGAGGCGGAGCTTGCAGTGAGCCGAGATCAGGACACTGCACTCCAGCCTGGGCGACAGAGCGAGGCTCGGTCTCAAAAAAAAATAAATAAATAAAATAAAATTTCAATCCCTTCCTCTCAATCTACATTTCATGCTTTTGTTTTTCTCTATAGTCCTTTTAGCATCCATAATAATGTATATTTTAATTATTTATTTGGTTTGTATGACTTCACATTCCCTCAATAAATTGTAAGCTTCATATAGATAACAAGACACTACTATATCCCTAGCACATTGAAGAGTGCCTGGCACTTAGTAGATGTTCAATAAATGCTTGTTGAATGAATGTGTAAATTTAATTTTGGGCACATAGGCTGTTTTAAATTTTCTGTTGTATAATCAAAACAGTGTTATAATCAATGTTTGTTATGATCAAAAACAATGCAAAACAGTGTCTGGATTTTTAATTAATTGAGATGATTACTTGTAGCAGAAAAGTTAGATTGAAGGACATAAACTGTATACTCTGGACAACACTGAAAACTGTTACGATCATTACTAATTTGATGGTAAAAATGCTATTTCATTGGGACAATTGACATTTAAACATTTTTTAATTTTTAACTTTTGTGGGTACATAGTAGATATATATGTGGTACACGAGATTGTTTTGATACAGGCATGCAATGTGAAATAATCACATCATGGAGAATGAGTTATCTGTCCCCTCAAGCGTTTATCCTTTGTGTTACAATTAAGTTACACTCCTTCAGTTATTTAAAAATGTACAATTAACTTACTATTTGCTATAGTCACACTGTTGTGGTATCAAATAATAGGACTTATTTATTTTTTCTATTTTTTTGTACCAATTAATTATCCACACCTCCCTCTCCAACCCCCACACTACCTTTCCCAGACTCTGGTAACTGTTCTTCTAATCTCTCTGTCTATGAGTTCACTTGTTTTGATTTTTAGATCAACAAATGAGAACGTGTGATGTGTGTCTTTCTGTGCCTAGCTTATTTCACTTAACACAATTACCTCCAGTTCTATCCATGTTGTTGCAAATGACAGAATCTCATTCTTTTTTTATGTCTGAATAGTACTCCATTGGGTATACATACCACATTTTCTTTTTTTTTTTTTTCTAGATGAAGTCTCACTCTGTCGCCAGGCTGGAGTGCAGTGGTGCAATCTCGGCTCACTGCAACCTCCGCCTCCCAGGTTCAAGCGATTCTCCTGCCTCAGCTTCCCGAGTAGCTGGGACAACAGGTGCTCACCACCATGCCCAGCTAATTTTTGTATTTTTAGTAGAGATTGGGTTTCACCCCGTTGGCCAGGATGGTCTTGATCTCTTGACCTTGTGATCCGCCCACCTCAGCCTCCCAAAGTTCTGGGATTACAGGCATGAGCCACCGCACCCAGCCGTACCACATTTTCTTTATCCATTCATTTGTTGATGGACACTTAGGTTGTTTCCAAATCTTAGCTATTGTGAACAGTTGTGCAACAAACGTCACAATGCAGATATCTCTTTGATATACTGATTTCCTTTCTTTTGAGTCCATAACCAGCAGTGGGATTGCTGGTTTATGTGGTAGCTCTATTTTTAGTTTTGTGAGGAAACATCATACTTTTCTCCACAGTGGTTGCACTAATTTACATTCCCATCAACAGTGTAGAAGTACTCCCTTTTCTCTACATTCTCACCAGCATTTGTTATTGCCTGTCTTTTGGATAGTCATTTTAACTGGGGTGAGATGATATTGTAGTTTTGATTTGCATTTCTCTAATGACTGGTGATATTGAGCACCTTTTCATATGCCTGTTTGCCACATGCATGTCTTCTTTTGAGAAATATCTATTGAAATCCTTTGCCCATTTTTTGACTAGATTATTAGATTTTTTTCCTACAGAGTTGTTTGAGCTCCTTATATATTCTGGTTAGTAATCCCTTGTCAGATGCAAATACTTTCTCCCATTCTGTAGGTTATCTCTTCACTTTGTTTATTGTTTCCTTTGCTATGCAGAAGCTTTTTAACCAGGTGTAATCCCATTTGTCTATTTTTGCTTTGGTTGTCTGTGCTTCTGTGGTATTGCTCAAGAAATTTTTGCCCAGACCAATATCCTGGAGATTTTCCCCAATGTTGTCCTTTAGTAGTTTCTTAGTTTGAAGTCTTCGATTTAAGTTTTAATCCATTTTGATTTGATTTTTGTATACAGTGGGAGATCAAGGTCAGTTTTATTCTTGTGCATATGGATGTCTAGTTTTTCCAGCATCATTTATTGAAGAGACTGTCCTTTCCCCAGTGTATATTCTTGGTACCTTTGTCAAAAATGAGTTCACTCTAGGTGTGTGGATTTGTTTCTGGATTCTCTATTCTGTTCCCATTGGTCTATGTGTCTGTTTTTATGACAGTATCATGCTATTTTGGTTACTATAGCTTTGTAGTATAATTTGAAGTCTGGTAATTTGATTCCTTCAGTTTTGTTCTTTCTGCTTAGGATAGTGTATCAGTTCTTTTCACATTGATATAAAGGACTGCCCAAGACTGGGTAATTTATAAAGGAAAGAGGTTTAATTGACTCACAGCTCCACATGGCTGCAGAGGCCTCAGGAAACTTAACAATCATGGCAGAAGGTGAAGGGGAAGCACATACCTTCACAAGGCAGCAGGAGAGAGAAGAGTGAAGGAGGAACTTCCAAAGACTTATGACATCATCAGATCTCATGAGAATTCACTCACTATCACGAGAATGGGGTGGGGGAAACTGCTCTGAAGATCAAATCACCTCCCTCCCTTGACATGTGGGGACTACAGTTCCCTCCGTCGACACATGGGGATTATAATTTGAAATGAGATTCGAGTGGGGACACAGAGCCAAACTGTATCAGATATCTTTGGCTATTCGGGGTCTTTTGTGGTTTCATATAAATTTTAGTATTGTTTTTCTATTTCTTTGAAGAATATCGTAGGTACTTTGATAGGGATTGCATTAAATCTGTAGATTGCTTTGGGCAGTATGGACATTTAAACAATATTCTTCCAATTCATAAACATGGAATATTTTCCCATTTTTTGGTGGCCTCTTGAATTTCTCTCATCAGGGTTCTATAGTTCTCATTATAGAGATTTTTCACTTCTTTGGTTAAGTTGATTCCTAGGTATTTTATTCATGGCTATTGTAAATGAGATTACTTTTTTTGATTTCTGTTTTGGAGTGTTCACTGTTGACATATAGAAATGCCACTGATTTTTGTATGTTGATTTGTGTATCCTGCAACCTTGTTGAATTTTTTTTATCAGTCCTAATAGTTTTTTGGTGGAGTCTTTAGGTTTTTCCAATATAAGATATGTCATCTGCAAACAAGGATAACTTGACTTCTTCTATTCCAATTTGGATGCCCTTTTTTTCTTTTTCTTATCTGATTGCTCTATCTAGGATTTCCAGTACTATGGTGAATAACAGTGGTGACAGTGGGCATTCTTGTTGTGTTCAAGATCTTAGAGGAAAGGCTTTCAGTTTTTCCCCATTTGGTATGATACTAGCTGTGGACCTGTTTTATATGGCTTTTATTACGTTGAGGTATGTTCCTTTTTTTATATATATTTTTTATTTATTTATTTTTTATTATACTTTAAGTTTTAGGGTACATGTGCACATTGTGCAGGTTAGTTACATATGTATACATGTGCCATGCTGGTGCGCTGCACCCACTAACTCGTCATCTAGCATTAGGTATATCTCCCAATGCTATCCCTCCCTCCTCCCCCCACCCCACAACAGCCCCCAGAGTGTGATATTCCCCTTCCTGTGTCCATGTGATCTCACTGTTCAATTCCCACCTATGAGTGAGAATATGTGGTGTTTGGTTTTTTGTTCTTGCGATAGTTTACTGAGAATGATGATTTCCAATTTCATCCATGTCCCTACAAAGGACACGAACTCATCATTTTTAATGGCTGCATAGTATTCCATGGTGTATATGTGCCACATTTTCTTAATCCAGTCTATCATTGTTGGGCATTTGGGTTGGTTCCAAGTCTTTGCTATTGTCAATAATGCCGCAATAAACATACGTGTGCATGTGTCTTTATAGCAGCATGATTTATAGTCCTTTGGGTATATACCCAGTAATGGGATGGCTGGGTCAAATGGTATTTCTAGTTCTAGATCCCTGAGGAATCGCCACACTGACTTCCACAATGGTTGAACTAGTTTACAGTCCCACCAACAGTGTAAAAGTGTTCCTATTTCTCCACATCCTCTCCAGCACCTGTTGTTTCCTGACTTTTTAATGATTGCCATTCTAACTGGTGTGAGATGGTATCTCATTGTGGTTTTGATTTGCATTTCTCTGATGGCCAGTGATGGTGAGCATTTTTTCATGTGTTTTTTGGCTGCATAAATGTGTTCTTTTGAGAAGTGTCTGTTCATGTCCTTCGCCCACTTTTTGATGGGGTTGTTTGTTTTTTTCTTGTAGATTTGTTTGAGTTCATTGTAGATTCTGGATATTAGCCCTTTGTCAGATGAGTAGGTTGTGAAAATTTTCTCCCATTTTGTAGGTTGCCTGTTCACTCTGATGGTAGTTTCTTTTGCTGTGCAGAAGCTGTTTAGTTTAATTAGATCCCGTTTGTCAATTTTGGCTTTTGTTGCCATTGCTTTTGGTGTTTTAGACATGAAGTCCTTGCCCGTGCCTATGTCCTGAATGGTAATGCCTAGGTTTTCTTCTAGGGTTTTTATGGTGTTAGGTCCAACATTTAAGTCTTTAATCCATCTTGAATTGATTTTTGTATAAGGTGTAAGGAAGGGATCCAGTTTCAGCTTTCTACATATGGCTAGCCAGTTTTCCCAGCACCATTTATTAAATAGGGAATCCTTTCCCCATTGCTTGTTTTTCTCAGGTTTGTCAAAGATCAGATAGTTGTAGATATGCGGCGTTATTTCTGAGGGCTCTGTTCTGTTCCATTGATCTATATCTCTGTTTTGGTACCAGTACCATGCTGTTTTGGTTACTGTAGCCTTGTAGTATAGTTTGAAGTCAGGTAGTGTGATGCCTCCAGCTTTGTTCTTTTGGCTTAGGATTGACTTGGCGATGCGGGCTCTTTTTTGGTTCCATATGAACTTTAAAGTAGTTTTTTCCAATTCTGTGAAGAAAGTCATTGGTAGCTTGATGGGGATGGCATTGAATCTGTAAATTGCCTTGGGCAGTATGGCCATTTTCACGATATTGATTCTTCCTACCCATGAGCATGGAATGTTCTTCCATTTGTTTGTATCCTCTTTTATTTCCTTGAGCAGTGGTTTGTAGTTCTCCTTGAAGAGGTCCTTCACATCCCTTGTAAGTTGGATTCCTAGGTATTTTATTCTCTTTGAAGCAATTGTGAATGGGAGTTCACTCATGATTTGGCTCTCTGTCTGTTGTTGGTGTATAAGAATGCTTGTGATTTTTGTACACTGATTTTGTATCCTGAGACTTCGCTGAAGTTGCTTATCAGCTTAAGGAGATTTTGGGCTGAGACAATGGGGTTTTCTAGATATACAGTCATGTCGTCTGCAAACAGGGACAATTTGACTTCCTCTTTTCCTAATTGAATACCCTTTATTTCCTTCTCCTGCCTGATTGCCCTGGCCAGAACTTCCAGCACTATGTTGAATAGGAGTGGAGAGAGGGCATCCCTGTCTTGTGCCAGTTTTCAAAGGGAATGCTTCCAGTTTTTGCCCATTCAGTATGATATTGGCTGTGGGTTTGTCATAGATAGCTCTTATTATTTTGAAATACGTCCCATCAATACCTAATTTATTGAGAGTTTTTAGCATGAAGGGTTGTTGAATTTTGTCAAAGGCTTTTTCTGCATCTATTGAGATAATCATGTGGTTTTTGTCTTTGGCTCTGTTTATATGCTGGATTATATTTATTGATTTGCGTATATTGAACCAGCCTTGCATCCCAGGAATGAAGCCCACTTGATCATGGTGGATAAGCTTTTTGATGTGCTGCTGGATTCGGTTTGCCAGTATTTTATTGAGGATTTTTGCATCAATGTTCATCAAGGATATTGGTCTAAAATTCTCTTTTTTTGTTGTGTCTCTGCCTGACTTTGGTATCAGAATGATGCTGGCCTCATAAAATGAGTTAGGGAGGATTCCCTCTTTTTCTATTGATTGGAATAGTTTCAGAAGGAATGGTACCAGTTCCTCCTTGTACCTCTGGTAGAATTCGGCTGTGAATCCATCTGGTCCTGGACTCTTTTTCGTTGGTAAGCTATTGATTATTGCCACAATTTCAGCTCCTGTTATTGGTCTATTCAGAGATTCAACTTCTTCCTGGTTTAGTGTTGGGAGAGTGTATGTGTCAAGGAATTTATCCATTTCTTCTAGATTTTCTAGTTTATTTGTGTAGAGGTGTTTGTAGTATTCACTGATGGTAGTTTGTATTTCTGTGGGATCGGTGGTGATATCCCCTTTATCATTTTTTATTGCGTCTATTTGATTCCTCTCTCTTTTTGTCTTTATTAGTCTTTCTAGTGGTCATTCAATTTTGTTGATCCTTTCAAAAAACCAGCTCCTGGATTCATTAATTTTTTGAAGGGTTTTTTGTGTCTCTATTTCCTTCAGTTCTGCTCTGATTTTAGTTATTTCTTGCCTTCTGCTAGCTTTTCAATGTGTTTGCTCTTGCTTTTCTAGTTGTTTTAATTGTGATGTTAGGGTGCCAATTTTGGATCTTTCCTGCTTTCTCTTGTGGGCATTTAGTGCTGTAAATTTCCCTCTACACACTGCTTTGAATGCATCCCAGAGATTCTGGTATGTTGTGTCTTTGTTCTCGTTGGTTTCAAAGAACATCTTTATTTCTGCCTTCATTTCGTTATGTACCCAGTAGTCATTCAGGAGCAGGTTGTTCAATTTCCATGTAGTTGAGCGGTTTTGAGTGAGATTCTCATCCTGAGTTCTAGTTTGATTGCACTGTGGTCTGAGAGATAGTTTGTTATAATTTCTGTTCTTTTACATTTGCTGAGGAGAGCTTTACTTCCAAGTATGTGGTCAATTTTGGAATAGGTGTGGTGTGGTGCTGAAAAAAATGTATATTCTGTTGACTTGGGGTGGAGAGTTCTGTAGATGTCTATTAGGTCCACTTGGTGCAGAGCTGAGTTCAATTCCTGGGTATCCTTGTTGACTTTCTGTCTCATTGATCTGTCTAATGTTGACAGTGGGGTGTTAAAGTCTCCCATTATTAATGTGTGGGAGTCTAAGTCTCTTTGTAGGTCACTCAGGACTTGCTTTATGAATCTTGGTGCTCCTGTATTGGGTGCATATATATTTAGGATAGTTAGCTCTTCTTGTTGAATTGATCCCTTTACCATTATGTAATGGCCTTCTTTGTCTCTTTTGATCTTTGTTGGTTTAAAGTCTGTTTTATCAGAGACTAGGATTGCAACCCCTGCCATTTTTGTCTTCCATTTGCTTGGTAGATCTTCCTCCATCCTTTTATTTTGAGCCTATGTGTGTCTCTGCACGTGAGATGGGTTTCCTGAATACAGCACACTGATGGGTCTTGACTCTTTATCCAGTTTGCCAGTCTGTGTCTTTTAATTAGAGCATTTAGTCCATTTACGTTTAAAGTTAATATTGTTATGTGTGAATTTGATCCTGTCATGATGATGTTAGCTGGTTATTTTGCTCGTTAGTTGATGCAGTTTCTTCCTAGTCTCGATGGTCTTTACATTTTGGCATGATTTTGCAGCGGCTGGTACCAGTTGTTCCTTTTCATATTTAGTGCTTCCTTCAGGAGCTCTTTTAGGGCAGGCCTGGTGGTTACAAAATCTCTCAGCATTTGCTTGTCTGTAAAGTATTTTATTTCTCCTTCGCTTATGAAGTAGTTTGGCTGGATATGAAATTCTGGGTTGAAAATTCTTTTCTTTAAGAATGTTGAATATTGGCCCCCACTCTCTTCTGGCTCGTAGGGTTTATGCCGAGAGATCCGCTGTTAGTCTGATGGGCTTCCCTTTAAGGGTAACCAGACCTTTCTCTCTGGCTGCCCTTAACATTTTTTCCTTCATTTCAACTTTGGTGAATCTGACAATTATGTGTCTTGGAGTTGCTCTTCTCGAGGAGTATCTTTGTGGCGTTCTCTGTATTTCCTGAATCTGAACGTTGGCCTGCCTTGCTAGATTGGGGAAGTTCTCCTGGATAACATCCTGCAACGTGTTTTCCAACTTGGTTCCATTCTGCCCATCCCTTTCAGGTACACCAATCAGACATAGATTTGGTCTTTTCACATAATCCCATATTTCTTGGAGGCTTTGCTCATTTCTTTTTATTCTTTTTTCTCTAAACTTCCCTTCTCCCTTCATTTCATTCATTTCATCTTCCATCGCTGATACCCTTTCTTCCAGTTGATCGCATCGGCTCCTGAGGCTTCTCCATTCTTCACGTAGTTCTTGAGCCTTGGTTTTCAGCTCCATCAGCTCCTTTAAGCACTTCTCTGTATTGGTTATTCTAGTTATACATTCTTCTAAATTTTTTTCAAAGTTTTCAACTTCTTTGCCTTTGGTTTGAATGTCCTCCCGTAGCTCAGAGTAATTTGATTGTCTGAAGCCTTCTTCTCTCAACTCGTCAAAGTCATTCTCCATCCAGCTTTGTTCCGTTGCTGGTGAGGAACTGCGTTCCTTTGGAGGAGGAGAGGCGCTCTGCTTTTTAGAGTTTCCAGCTGTTCTGTTCTGTTTTTTCCCCTCTTTGTGGTTTTATCTACTTTTGGTCTTTGATGATGGTGATGTACAGATGGGTTTTTGGTGTGGATGTCCTTTCTGTTTGTTAGTTTTCCTTCTAACAGACAGGACCCTCAGCTGCAGGTCTGTTGGAATACCCTGCAGTGTGAGGTGTCAGTGTGCCCCTGCTGGGGGGTGCCTCCCAGTTAGGTTGCTCGGGGGTCAGGGACCCACTTGAGGAGGCAGTCTGCCCATTCTCAGATCTCCAGCTGCGTGCTGGGAGAACCACTGCTCTCTTCAAAGCTGTCAGACAGGGACATTTAAGTCTGCAGAGGTTACTGCTGTCTTTTTGTTTGTCTGTGCCCTGCCCCCAGAGGTGGAGCCTGCAGAGGCAGGCAGGCCTCCTTGAGCTGTGGTGGGCTCCACCCAGTTCGAGCTTTCCGGCTGCTTTGTTTACCTAAGCAAGCCTGGGCAATGGCGGGCGCCTCTCCCCCAGCCTCGCTGCCGCCTTGCAGTTTGATCTCAGACTGCTGTGCTAGCAATCAGCGAGACTCCGTGGGCGTAGGACCCTCCGAGCCAGGTGCGGGATATAATCTTGTGGTGCGCCGTGTTTTAAGCCCGTCGGAAAAGCGCAGTATTCGAGTGGGAGTGACCCGATTTTCCAGGTGCCGTCCGTCACCCCTTTCTTTGACTAGGAAAGGGAACTCCCTGACCCCTTGCGCTTCCCGAGTGAGGCAATGCCTCACCCTGCTTTGGCTCGTGCACGGTGCGCGCACCCACTGACCTGCGCCCTCTGTCTGGCACTCCCTAGTGAGATGAACCCGGTACCTCAGATGGAAATGCAGAAATCACCCGTCTTCTGCGTCGCTCACGCTGGGAGCTGTAGACCAGAGCTGTTCCTATTCGGCCATCTTGGCTCCTCCCTCGGTATGTTCCTTCTATACCTAGTTTTTAAATTTTTTTTTATCATAAAGGGATGTTGAAATTTATTAAATGCTTTTTCAGCATCAATTGAAATGATCTTGTAGCTTTTATCCTTCATTCTGTTGATCCAATGTATCACATTGATTTATTTGCGTATGTTGAATTATCCTTGCATCCCAGGGATAAATCTCACTTGGTCATGATGAATGATCCTTCTAATGTGTTGTTGAATTCATTTTGCTAGTATTTTGTTGAGGATTTTTACATCAGTATTCGTCAGAGATATTGGCCTGTAGTTTTTTTTATTATGTGTCTTTGTCTGGTTTTGGTATCAGGGTAATATTAGCCTTGTAGAATGAGTTTGGAAGTATTCTCTCCTCTTGGGTTTTCAGAATAGCTTGAGTTGGACCGAGATTAGTTCTTCTTGAAATGTTTGGTAGGATTCAGCAGTGAAGCCATTGGGTCCCAGGCTTTTCTTTACTGGGAGACTTTTTATTGTGGCTTTGATTTCATTGGTATTGGTCTGTTCAGGTTTTGGACTTCTTCCTGGTTTAGTCTCGGTAGGTTGTATGAGTCTAGGAATTAGTCCACTTCTTTTAGGTTTTCCAGTTGGTTGGCGTATAGTTACTCATAGTAGCCTCTAATGATCCTTTGCATTTCTGCAGTATCAGTTGTAATGTCTTCTTTTTCATTTCTGATTTTATTTATTTGTATCTTCTTTTTTTCTTAGTCTAGCTAAAGTTTTGTCAATTTTGTTTAACTTTTCAAAAAACTAACTTTTTGTTTCATTGATCGTTTGTATTTTCTTCATTTCATTTATTTCTGTGATTTTTATTATTTTCTATTAATTTTGGGTTTGGTTTGCTCTTGCTTTTCTGGTTCATTAAGATACATCATTAGATTGTTTATTTAAAGTTTTTTTTCTTTTTTGATGTAGACACTTATAGCTATAAACTTCCCTCTTAATACTGCTTTTGTTGTATCCCATAAGTTTTGGTATGTTGTGTTTCCATTACCATTTGTTTCAAGGAATTTTTCAATTTTCTTCTCAATTTCTTCATTGACCCACTGGTCATTCAGGAGCATATTGTTTAATTTTCATGTATTTGTATAGTTTCCAAAATTGCTCTTATTATTAATTTCTAGTTTTATTCCACTGTGGCCAGAGAAGCTGCTTGATATTGTTTCAGTCTTTTGAATGTATTAAGACTTATTTTGTGACCTAACATGTGCATTTCTTTAATCACTCATGAAGGTCAATATTTTTCGTGTCACTTAGCTTTTTGTATTTCACTTTTTGTGAGATTTCCTATTTAGGTGTTTGCATCGTTATGTATACAAGCTTTTAGTATAATAAGGATAATATATATTTCCCTAGACTTTTTCTTATCTGTGTGTTTTGAGATATGTAATATCCAGAGAAAGCAATTATTTAGTCCCTAAAAAGGTATATGGAATTACCTCCCTTAACATATCAAACTGTAATACATCTTAATTTCCAAAAAGAATGTTTGGTACATAATACCTTATTAAATCATTACAATATATGAAGGCTTTCAGGTGTTTGAGAAAAATATGGAAGCAGCTACAAAGTGACCAAGAATTCTTGCACTTGGATTGGTATTCTTGGTTCTAAGAGTGTGTTTTAGATATTTCATGACTATTCATTCTCTGTTACTTCTTTTTCAGTTGCCATTCATATGTTTATTAGCTCATCTAGCATGTATCTCACAGGAAAAAATTATAGGATAGTCTATGATGATAGTACAGATGGGTTAAGTGCTGTGATGGAGTCATTCACAGGGCTGTATAGAAGCACAGAGAAGAGGCAACTAAATCAGACTAAAGAAACTCTGGTGTCAGAGCAAGTGATGTTTCAGCTGAGTTTGGAAGGATTTATAGTAGTGCTTTACAGGATGCACAGAGACCACCACATCTCAGTCAAAGAAAATAACATGTATAACATCAAAGAGGAATTAAATAATATTATAATTTCAAGGGCCAACTTGAAGGGCACGTGGGTGGTGGTGGCAGAAGTGTCAGAGACTGAAGGTCTTGCGAGGCAAGCTATGAAGCGCTATTAACATCAAATTAGAAAGATTATTCTGTTGGCAAATGAAGGAACATAAAAGGGAAATCACATTGGACGCAGGAAGATCAGTTAGGAGACTCTTGCCTCTCTCACGGGGAGAAAATAACTAACAGAACTAAACACATGACAGTATGAATGGAGAGGGAGAGAATAGATGGATTTTACAGCTATTAAAGACATCTTATTTTCAGGAGTCTGCAACCGAGTGATACATTTCAGTCTACCATGACTTATAAGTTTTTGGTCTGAGTAGATGCTGCTGTCTTTTATTGAGATAAAAAAATTGAGAGAAGGAAAAGGAGGAGGTGGTGGTGGGGGCGGGAAATAGGATGAGTTCAGCATTGGACATCCTGAGTTTATAGTACCCTGGGCACACACAAACAGTGCTCTCCTGAAGACAGGTGGATGTACAGGAGTGCAGCTGAGAGACAACTTGGGAGCCATGAGTACATAAGAGGTAATTGAAGCCATTGATGTTGATGAGGTCACTTAGGCTCTGAGCATATAGCAAGAGCACTGTGTTGAGGAGAGTGCTTAGGGAAACAACAGCATTTAAGAAGCAAGCAGAGTGAGAAGCATTTGAGGATGAAACTGAGAAGGTACAGCCAGTAGAGAAGGATTAGCATTAGCACAGAAGCAGACTGGAGGTTGATGGGAAGGAGACCCGTAAATCTGGAGTATGATATAGGCAGGGTGATTTTTAATATTCAGGGTGTTTTCTTATTTTAATTTTTCAACTTTTAGATTGGGGTACATTTGTACGTTTGTTATCTGGGCATATTGTATGATGCTGAGGTTTGGGATATGAATGATCCCATCACCCAGGTACTGACCATAGTACCCAACAGTTTTTCAACCCTTGCCCCTGCTTTTCCCTTTCCTTTCTAATAGTCTGTAGTGTCTATTGTTGCCATCTTTAATTCCATGAGTACCCAATGTTTAGCTGCCATTTATAAGTAAGAACATACGGTATTTGGTTTTCTGTTCCAGTGTTACTTTGCTTAGGAAAATAGCCTCCAGCTACATCCATGTTTATGCAAAATACATGATTTTGTTGTTTTTTATGGCTCTATAGTATTCCATGGGGTATATGTACCACATTTTCTTTATCTAATCCACCAATGATGGTCACCTAGCTTGCTTCCATGACTTTGCTATTGTGAATAGTTCAGCAAACCCTTTTTAAAGATAGGGTCTCCTTGTCACTCAGGCTGGAGTGCAGTGGTACAATAACAGCTCACATAGTTTTGACCTCCCAGAGCTCCAGTGATCCTCCAACCTCAGCCTCCCGAGTAGTTGGGACTACAGGCACATGCTTCCATGCCTTGCTAATTTTTGTATTATTATTATTATTTTGTATAGACAGGGTTTCACCCTGTTGCCCAGGCTGGTCTTGAACTCCTGGTCTCAAGTAATCATCCCACCTCAGCCTCCCAAAGTACTGGGATTGCAGGTGTGAGGCACCATGCTTGGCCTACAGTGAGACATTTGAATTGTCATATCATTATTGACAAAATGCATAGTATATGATGAATGACGGAATATTAGGCAGATTCCTGGCTATTTGAACAAATGTATACTAAGATTATTAATGTATGTGATGCTAAACTGAAAGAACATCTCCAATGCAATACTTTTGTGCTTAATATCTAATTTCTGTCCTTTTACTGTTTTACTATTACCATTTTAAATAATACTTGGGTTTTGAGACGGCATAACCAAATTTTGTAAAGTCAGAAAGCTGAGAAGGATTCCTAATGAGTTGGAAAACAGAATTGGGATTCAAAATGATTTCAAAAGGCTAGAATAATGGGCAATCCAACATAATTGATTTAAATGTAGACTGTTCTTTTCTGGTTCTGAAAATCAGATGTTCAAGCATAGAATGGGAAAATTTTACTTAAAAGTACTTCTGAAGCCATAGCTGTCATATGGCTGCAAAAGCAATGATGGAGGGTCTTGAGTTCTGTTTATATGAGAAGAATGCCTTGTTTGTGGAAGGTAGACATTTATATTAGGTCATTAGTTCAACTTAGATGCAATATTTGAAGAGGGATATTGACAAAGGGTGACATTGGCTTGAGATGTGAATTAGGAAGATTAGTTATTTGGAAAGTACGTCACGGGAAACTAACCAAAGGAAATGGGGTTGTTTAGCTTAGAGTAGACTTGAGGGGGCCATGACATGAGCTTCAAATATATTAAGTGCAGTCATAATGCTATAATTGCTATAATGCTCATTTAGAGGACAAGATTTGGATTAGCGGGTAGTAGACAAAAGGATGCAGAATTTAGTTCATCTTAGAAGGTGTTTTACATATGCAGAAGCCATGAGCTTTGTCTTTATACTCTGAAAATTGCAGAGCTGCTTCTTTGGATGGATTGCAAACCTAGGTTCCATGTGTAGGAGCCATGAGTTCTAATTTACTGAACTTTGACAATTTCACTATGCTGGATTTAAGGGGCAGTTCAATGACTGCTCAGGGGTATATCCATACCTACTGTAACTGGTGAGAAGATAAATATTTGACCTTGATGCATTAGTCGTAGCTAGCACACAATTTTTTTTTTTTTTTTTTGAGACGGAGTTTCACTCTTTTTTGTCCAGGCTGGAGTGTAGTGGTGCTATCTTGGCTCACTGGAACCTCTGCCTCCCTGCTTCAAGCTTCAAACAATTCTGCCTCAGCCTCCTGAGTAGCTGGGATTACAGGCACACGCCACCATGTCCGGCTAATTTTGTATTTTTAGTAGAGACGGGGTTTCACCATGTTGGCCAGGTTGGTCTCGAATTCCTGACCTTAGGTGATCCAGCCGCCTTGGCCTCCCAAAGTGCTTGGATTACAGTCGTGAGCCACTGCGCCTGGCCACACACATTCTTATTCTGTCTTACTTAGCACTTTATTCTAAGAATGCTACAGTGTAAAAACACAGTGCCCTTTGGTGTTTAACCCTACCTCCTAACGTTAAGAGCAGAAAGAACTGACCCTTGAAAATGTAATGCAGACTTCTACTTGATAATTCTTAGGCATATAAATAATGCATAGCAGGAAATAACTTGAACCAAAATAATAATTGATGCTTAAACATATCTGAGCCTGTTATGCTAGGAAAGTGCTTCCCTATCTAAAGAGCAGATAAATATTAAGATCATTTACTTGAGGTTTTTTTTTAATGATCTCATTTTTTTCTACATTTGTCACCTTTTAAAGTTAAAAGCAATATATGCATTCCAGAAAAATGCAGCAATAAAAACACCCATAATCTCACTAAATAAGCATGCCACTTTTAACATCTTAGTATTTGTAATATGAATAATAAATAATAACAATAGCCAGGTAAAATTTTAAGTGCATTTTTATTTATTAACTCACTCATCTCCCTAACTCTAATTGGTAAGCTTGAACCGCCGCATCTTCTCCCCATGTTTAAGTTACTTGTGAATCCAAGCTGCTACACCAGGGCCCATACTTTTCACCATCAGACTATACTGCCTCTATTACATATATCAAAAGTCCTTTGCATGTATTTCATTATCAGTGTACACATATGGTTACAAAATGGTAATATTATGTACATATAGTTTGGTAATGTTTTTTGGCATTTAAAAATATGACATGAACTTACTCCCCTATTTTGATTCCTCAAGAATTTTATTAAGTACTTGATATGTCTCTGACTTTGTTCCCTGAATAACCAGTTTTTACAAATAGTGTTTTGAACAATCCATAATTCATCCTTTTTCTGTTGGTCTGTTTTCTATACCATCTATTGTGTATGTGGATATATAAAAATTTATAAGCTATTGTTTTATATATAATATGTGCTATATTATATATATGCACATTTATTCAATTTCTTTTGAGCTATTTTCTACACTATTGATTTTTTTTGTACAGATTGCAGAGTTTTATAATATAGTTTTATATGGTGGCACTTAATTTTCTTTCATTCTCAGCTGTTCTCACTTATTTAGTCTTTCAGTTCAACTTCAGAATAATTTTGAAAAGTTAAAAATTTTTTTTGGATTCTCTTAAGTTCGCCCATTTATTTGGAAAAAATGTCATATTTTTAGTATTATCTTCACATTTAAAGACATACAGTCTGTTTTAGCATTTATTGAGGCATTCTGTATTTCTCACTAGCACAATCTTTGTATTCTGAACTATTTTATGTTACTATTTTCCATGACATTTTTCTGCCAACCACTTTACCTTTTAATTGATTTTTCCCTGATATGTTGAAAAGCCACTGGTTTTTAGAAATTAATTGTGTATCTAGTTTCTTACAGGGCTGTCTTATTAATTCTAACGTTTTGTCAGTTAATTATCTTCGATTTTTTTGATAACAAGTTCCATTTATTGAGTAGTTAATGTGTGAAACACTTTTCTCACAGAAGTCCATGCCTCTGCTTTCAGAGATGAAGAAACTGAAGCTCAAAGGCAATTAATAACTTACAAAAGATGACAAAGCTAGTGAGCCATAAAGCTGGGATAGATTTGTCTCCAGAGAGCTCACTTTCCACTGAACTCCACTACCTCCCACTCTGCCTACACAGAACTGATCTATTATGCTTACAGCTCTCCATGACTGATTCTTAGAGGCTATTGATCGAATCTTATTAGGTGTACCAGGCAGCTATTTACAGTTTTTCCCAGTAGCCAATCATTTTCACATGATTTCTTTTTTTCAAGGTAGAGATCCTTTTCTCATGTGTTTCAGAAATCTTTCGTCTCCTCCAAGGTAGATGTTAATTCCACATTTTCACAAGGAAAGCTTTATGTACTGCTGTGTTTTACTCACACACAAGGTGTGTAGGTAGCCACTGGTCCTCCTGTCTTGATAGCATGTCTGTGCAGAGTTCCTAGTCCAGTTTCTGTTGTCTGAGAAACTTCCTTTTTATGCTATGCTGATGAACTTTGAGGATCTCATTCTGTCTATTAGATTCTCGATTAGGAGAATGTTTTAAAGAAACAGAGCTGTCTGTGGTTCTTCTATGTGAAGAAGCACATGATAGGTACTGGACCTAGGGCATTTTCTGCCTCTGTTTTTATCTGTACATTTCTGGGAGTGAAGGATGTACGTGAAGAGGTGAGAGTGAGATTTGTTAGTCTGATGTCATCTTAAACCAGAAATCTGTAAAACTTCAAAAACAGATGGCCTTTTTCTGTTGTTGGAAAACTATATTCCAAAGAAAATTCAGAATAAAAATTGATGGACAAATTGATGTGTAATTCTGTCATTTTACATCTTTTTGTTTTTGTTCTCTTCCTTACACCTCTTTCTTTTAAGACTTATCAGTTAATATGGCTCAGGCATTGCTGTAAGTGTTTTACAGATATTAGCCCACTTAATAGCAATCATTTGTTATTAGTTCATTCATCATTCATAAGCAAATGATGCTGCTTTAAAGTGATATTCAGACATTTTATATAGAAGTTAAATCATTGCCTCAATCTTTAAACAAATCTTTATGGAAGCTTAATTGAAGTGCACTCAGATACATATATTTGAAGTATATAAATTGATCAGTTTTGACATATGTAAGCACTCATGAAACTATTGTCATAATCAAGATAGTCATTTTCAACATCCCCAAAAGTTTCCTGTTTCTCTTTGTAATCTAACCCTTCCTCCACTCTGTCCCTAGGCAGCCACTGATCTGCTGTCACTACAGATTCAGTTGCATTTTATAGAATTTTAGATAAGTGGAATTGTATGGCATGTACTCTTTTTTGGGTGGGGGGCTGTCTTCTTTCACTTAGCATAATGATTTTTGAGGTTTATTCACATTGTGGTGTGTATCAAGTTTGTTCCTTTCTGCTGAGTAGTAGTCTACTATATGGCTATACACAATTTGTTATTTAATATACCTATTTTTAACATAATATAGTTGTAATCATAGCACTTGATATTCTTAAGCTCCAATAAGATAATGTAATCTATGATCATTAAATACTAACTAGTGAGTACTCCAGTAAGTTCTTTATAAAATTTAGCCGCAGCAGTCTAAACATGTAAGTGTAAGTACTAAAGGATTTTTGGCATTCTGAGATATTCCTGTAGGTGATTCTTTGTTTCATTCAGTATTTAACGCTGTTCTGATAAATCTTGATTTTTGGAGCTAACCATTCAGTTAGTCTATTAGATGTGCCTGCTGTTAGAACTATTAATATTTTCACTTACTTGCCTGTCTGTAGATCATTTAACTATCAATTAATGAATGCATGTCTCTGGGAGTGCAGGTGAGAAATGTGGATCTCATGCCACTCATTCAGAGGCTAAAATGAGGACTTTGTTTAGTTCATGGTAATGAGCATTGACATACTGTATGGAAATGAAAACAGTCTTTGTGTGTGTTCAGTTGGATGAACAATTAAATATATTCATTCCTAATTGAAATTATGTTTCTATTGTTAAAGAAAAACTGAGAGGAGTTAAATTTAACATTTGAGCAAGAAAAAAGTTCTAGAACCAGACAGCATTCCTGATGAAGGTGGTGATATGGTTTTTCTGTGTCCCCACCCAAATCCCATCTTGAATTGTAGCTCCCATAATTCCCACATGTTGTGGGAGGGACCAGGTGGGAGATAATTGAATCATGGGGGTGGTTTCCCCATACTGTTCTCGTGGTAGTGAATAAGTCTCATGCGATCTGATGGTTTTATAAGGGGAAACCCCTTTCACTTGACTCTCATTCTCTCTTGTCTGCCACCATGTAAAATGTGCCTTTCATCTTCCACCATGATTGTGAGGCCTCCCCAGCCATGTGGAACTGTGAGTCCATTAAACCTCTTTTTCTTTATAAATTACCCAGTCTTGGGTATGTCTTCATCAACACCATGGGGTAACAGAGTACCCCCACCTACAAACCTGGTGGACTATATAACGAGAAAATAAGAAATGACATACAGAGAGTACTTGATTGGTACAGCTGGCATGTACCTTCTTTGGGTGTAATCTGGCAGCTTTCAGCCTCTGGTTGTCTGCAGCTACTGTGATTTGAGACTCAGCTACTTGTTATAAGGGTTTACTTTTCATGAAATTACAGTCTGTTTACACAAGTTAGGTTATAGTTCATAATGTATGGAGAAACCATTATGCCAAACTCAAAATATGTACGGTGGCAGCTTTAGGCCAAACTTAATTCAGTTTAATGCCATAAATCACAAATCCATCAAGATAGCTAGGTTTAGTTGTATTTTTTCTTTTTCTTTCTTTCTTTTTTTTTCTTTTGGTGGGAGCTGATGAGAATTCTGTTGACTAACATGTTTGCATTTAGAACAAGATAAGCATTCTTTTAGACTAATAGTGTTTTTGCAAGTTTTGAGGACGCTTATGTTTTTCTTATATTGTTCCAGGAAGAGAAAAGGTATTGGTATGTACTGTGACTGACTGACATGTCCCATTTAGGCTTATCTCGTCTTAGAATCCATCTTTTGTAGCAGTAGGTGATCACCCTAACAGGACAGGGAGAATAAATGTGACTTACTTGGCATCATAGTAGTGAGTTCTGCACTCTCTATGACAGAGGCAGGCTAATCCTTAACCTGAAATTTTCAGCTATGGCTTTGTTTTCCTGATCTCTTCAAAATCAGATTGTTTACCTTTATTTCCTCAATTCTCTTTCCAATTCACTAGAGTCAGGCTTTTATCCCACTTATTTTCCTGAATCTCTTGTCATGGTTAGTAATCATCTAATTATTAGTGGTGTCTTTAATCCTCATCCTATTCCATCTGAGGCATTTGACTCTACTTCCAGGCTTCTGCTTTCTTATACTGTAATGTTGTGTCACTCATTGTTATGTCCTTATTTCTTTAGCTACTCTTCTATGACCTCTTTGTAAATCTCGATTGCCCCAGGTTTTTGCTTTTTGTCTTTTTGCATTGTAGATATCCTGTCTGAGTGATCTTATCCATATTTCTTTCATTATTTTTCTGTAAACATGCTTATTATAAACCATTTGAATAATTTGAACAAGCAAGAATGAAAATCACCTGCCATAACACCTATGGAAAACCATTGTTACATTATTTACATTACTTATCCAACTGCTTGTCTTACCTACAACCTTTGTTTAAATGACTCTAAAATCCAACCTCCATTGCATAGTTTTCCATCAAGTTCCAAAATAATATTTATGGCTCCTTAAATTATAAAAAGAATTGCGAAAAAGCACAATCCTTTCTTTAAGGAACTCATAGTCCAGTGAAGTAGCTCTCAATCTGGCTGCAAGTTAGAATCACAGACCAAAAATTTATTTCCAATTTAGGGATCTGAGGACAGGGTCCAGGAGCCAGATGCCAGTGCATAGCCAGGGTTAAGAATCCCTTGTGTAATGGCTATATTTCAAAGTGCCATTTATTTAATATCTACTCTATGCCAGGCCATGTGGTATCCATTTGTTCTTTCAACAAATATTTTTTCAGCCCTTCTTTTATGTTTACCCCTGGCCTAGTTACCGGGAACACATCAGAGAACAAAAAGAGAGTTTCCATTCTTATGGAGATTATGAAATGGTAAAAAGAGATAGACATTATACAAATACATGAGAAGTGGTGATAAATGTAGGAAGAAAAATAAGGGAGCTGAGGGTATAGGGATGTGTGTCTATCTAAAAAGTCAGAAAAGGGCTTTGGATGTTACAGCATTTGAATAATGCCTGAGTGAAGAGGAGACATCTGGGGAAGGATCTTCCAGAAAGAGGGAATAACAAATGCAAATGCAAAAACCCTAAAATGATCATGCACTTTAAGTGTTCAGAGGAGAGTGACCCCCTGTGGCTTGAGCAGAGTGAGAGGGACGTGGCAGGAATTGAGACCACAGGGGTCATGTGGGTGGAGTGTGGCTGATCACATGGTGCCTTTTAGGGTGTGTGAAAGACTTTGCCTTTTATTCTGAATGAGATGAAGGCCTTAGAGGCTTTTGAGCACAGATGTAATCTGATGTGATTTATGTGTAAAAAGATCAAACTAGCTGCTATGTGGGAAATAGACTGCCAGAGATGTGGGTAACAACAAAGGAGTTAGGATATTACGAAAATATGGGTGAGGCATTATGGCAGCTTAGATTAAGGTGTTAGGTGTGGAATGGTGAGAAGAAATTGGATTTTTTATATATTTTGTACATAAAATATATTTATATATATGTATTTTGGAAGAAATGATAGGCTTTTCTAAGGTCTCCTAGGGAGCAAGTTTAGCTAAAAAGAAGTAGTCAAGGACCAAGTGCTAGGGCACATCAGGAGAGTTAGAACCAATGGACGATGGTGTCCCAGAGGTCAAATAAAGAAAGTGTTGAAGAAGAGGGTTGATGGATGAAATCAAACACAGTTGTTAGATCTAGTGAGAGGAATATTGAAACAGGTGTTTTTATTTAGCAAGGTGAAGGTCTTTTCAATTATCTTGAAAAAAGCAATTTTGACTGAGGGAGAGAGGTAAAAACCTGATTGGAATGGGTTCAGGAAAGGGAAGAAAGGAGGCAACACAGTGAGAACAGACACTTGTTTTGAGGAGCTTTGCTAGTCAGGGATGAAAAGTGGTAGTAACTGAAGGGGGAAGTGAAAATAGTTACTTGGTAAGAGTAATGCTGAACAAAGTATACTTCAACATGTCTTCTAAATGCAAGATTTTGTTCTAAGAATAGCAGCTGTTGTTTTATTATGATGTCTTGTTTAAGAGTCTCTTAAAATGAGGCATACTTATAATTTTCAGTCTTTTAATTTGAGACATTTTGATCAAGCTCATCCATTTTCTTTACAGCACATGACTTTTCCCCCCTCTTTCTAGTTTGGGGATATCCTTTTGTATTACTTTTCTGGGGACAGCTATAACAAAGCTCCATAAACTGGGTGGCTTACACAACACAAATTTATTGTTCTGCAAGCTAGAAGTCCAAAATCAAGGTGCCAGCAGGCTTGGTTCCTTCTAAGGATTATGGCAGAAGGATCTGTTCCAGGCTTCTCTCCTTGGCATGGATGGCCATCTTCTCCCTGTGTGTCTCTTCACATCCATCCTCACTCTATGCTTATCTCTTTGTCCAAATTTCCCTTTTATAAGGATAGCAGCCATATTGGATTTGGCTCACCATAATAACCTCATTTTAAGTCTATTGCTTCTGCAAAGGACCAAATAAGGTTACATTCAGAGGTACTAGGAGTTAGGACTTCAGCATGTGAATTTTTTGGGGACACAATTCAACCCATAACACTTTACTTTCCCATAGGCTTATTTCTGAAGTTTTATTCTAATGACACTTAAAATTTTTCTGCTGGGTGATATTTAGGCACAGTTACCAGTTACTCAATCCAGTCGTATGTGTCATTTGAAATGATTTGGGGTGGGAGGTGGCTTTTCTGATATAAAATGAACACTTGCCAAATTATAATGAATATGATGTCAGACTTTTCTTAGATTTCTCATTTAATTTCATGTTTAAAACAGTAGAACCAGCAAGCTAGTAGAAGGAAACTATGTCTACTTTGGGAAGAAGAGATAAATCAAAGTGCCTTCTCTGGGAAAAACCTTACATTAAATATATGTACCATCTCCCTGGTCTTATTAAGATGGCAGCACAGCCTAGTTCTAAATAAAGGCCAACATCTGACCCCACAGTATATCACCTTTAGTATAGAGAGAAATTAGGTTTATTAGAAGAAATTTTGTTGTTGCACCAAGAAAAATATTATAGAAATTGGCTCATATTTGTATATCTAGGTGTACGATCCAAGTAAATGTTTTCAGCTAATTTCTGGGTATCCCGTTCTCCCTGAAGAGTTGCTTCTTTTTCAGCATGAGGTTTTAATTGGGATACAGGCCATTATGATGCATCCTCATAAAACAGTTGGCTTTTATTTGGAGACTGTAAAATACAGATCGTATTTATTATGGATTTTATTTAGAAAGTGTAAAATACAGATCATAATTAATGACTGTAGAGACCCCATTATCTCTAAGTTCTTAGTGCAATAAGAAATAATGTAAATTTAACTGTGGAATAGAAAATGTATTTTTATGGGCCTATCACTCCTTTATAGGCTTACGGCAGAATACAAGATCTAAAAAGAACAAAACAGCTGTGGTAAAAATTAGTGTTAAATAAAATATCCAATAAAATTTGGATGTTTTCCAAATTACTTTCTAACTGGGAATTCTAAAGTTCAGCAGTTCCCTAAAATGGCCACTGAATGACTCTCTTGAGAGAGTCTTTTTTTTTTTAATTCCTAACTTTGTATACTTTAAATAATTTCTTAAAAATTTCATGTTGTTTAAACATGAAAAAAGTGATTCAACAAGAGACTAGATTTTTTAATCTAGAGAAAATAGTAAACATATTCTCCATGGCTTCTTCACAGATAAAACCTAGTGATAGTTCCCATACTAACCATATTAAACATACAATTTATTAATGATAGGTTTATGTCCAGGCTTCACAGTTTATCTCACTGATGACCACGGCTCAATGAAACCTAAATTCAATCTTCCTCTGCACCCATGAAATCACAACTCTTCCAGCTTTCCCCCTTACTTTCTCATGTTCAGCTATTCTGGAAAGGCATCTTTTTCTCAGTGCTTTCTTAGTGACTGTACTGATAAAAATACAAACAGCATATGGAAGTAGATATATGCGTAGGTCTTGATTTTGTGTTTTGGTAGACTGGTTTATTCAAGCAAATACAACAGGAGAATATGTTTGTTTAAGGTTTGCTTTTGTGCCAGTTGCTGGTTTTTCTCTTTTTTGGCCTGCCAGAAATATACACCTTTATTTCTACACTATTTGATAAACATTTCTAATTGACAATTTTTTTCATTGAATTAATTAGCTCCTTCAAAAATATAACATATGTCTAACATGTTGAGGAATTTTGAAGAATTATGCTCAAATTTGATTTTACTTGAAATGTTTTAAATTTAGTAAAATTATTTAATGTTAGAGGCTTAATAGTTCTTCAATATTATGTAAAAAATTGGCCTTAATTTACAGTAGCTTGAAAAGCATAATCTAATTTTAATTATCCAGAAGAAAAATTTTTAATCACTTTTTTTGGAAGTGAATTGATTGGCAGGTAATGCTCAATTGGTTATGTGTGCACCAGAGTGTGGTGGGATAAGCATTGGCCTGTGAGTCAAGAGACCCAGTTACAAGATTTTACTTGTCATTAATTGTGTGACCTGAGTAACTTGCTTTCTGCTGGACTCCATCTTCTCATTTGGCAAAGAAAGAGACTGGTTTAGATCATCTGTAAAGTCCTTTCCAAGCTTGACATTTTATGACTTTATTTCTTCTTGTTTTATATTTTTAGATAAAATAGGAATTAGGTCTTTGCTTTTTGTTCGATACTCTTGACTGAAGGGGGATTTTTCCTGTCCAATATGGTCATACTGGGCAGAGAATGTAGCTTGATGGTTTTTAGAAAATAAGCATTGTCTGAAAATAGTCAACAAGAGGGCTTGGTGAATCTGCCAACAGATGACTGCTTCTACAATTTCATTTAGTCATCTAAACGAATTGAATTTAGACATTTAGCATGAAATACTTAGTATTCCTCAAGACAAGGTTTAGGGACCATAGAATGTCTTAGCCTTCTATAATTCTGACTTGGTTTATCAGGTGACCTACAGTATGGAGGAATCATAATCTTATAAATTACATCCATGACAGCCTATGGTTTTTTTTTTTTTTCTGTAGGAAAAGACTCTTAGGTCAGTGATGTAAGGCAGGCATGGGTGATACTTGCTTTTTATTTTAAAAAATAAATTTTATTATTGCCTCAATTTCAGAGCCTGTTATTGGTCTATTCAGAGATTCAACTTCTTCCTGGTTTAGTCTTGGGAGGGTGTATGTGTCAAGGAATTTATCCCTTTTTTCTAGATTTTCTAGTTTATTTGTGTAGAGGTGTTTATAGTATTCTCTGATGGTAGTTTGTATTTCTGTGGGATCGGTGATAATTATAGCTTACCAACCAAAAAAAGTCCAGGACCAGATGGATTCACAGCCGAATTCTACCAGAGGTACAAGGAGGAGCTGGTACTATTCCTTCTGAAACTATTCCAATCAATAGAAAAAGAGGGAATCCTCCCTAACTCATTTTATGAGGCCAGCGTCATCCTGATACCAAAGCCTGGCAGAGAGACAACAAAAAAAGAGAATTTTAGACCAATATCCCTGATGAACATTGATGCAGAAATCCTCGATAAAATACTGGCAAACCGAATCCAGCAGGACATCAAAAAGCTTATCCACCATGATCAAGTGGGCTTCATCCCTGGGATGCAAGGCTGGTTCAATATATGCAAATCAATAAACGTAATCCAGCATATAAACAGAACCAACGACGAAAACCACATGACTATCTCAATAGATGCAGAAAAGGCCTTTGACAAAATTCAACAACGCTTCATGCTAAAAACTCTCAATAAATTAGGTATTGATGGGACGTATCTCAAAATAATGAGAGCTATCTACGACAAACTCACAGCCAATATCATACTGAATGGGCAAAAACTGGAAGCATTCCCTTTGAAAACTGGCACAAGAGAGGGATGCCCTCTCTCCACTCCTATTCAACATAGTGTTGGAAGTTCTGGCCAGGGCAATCAGGCAGGAGAAGGAAATAAAGGGTATTCAATTAGGCAAAGAGGAAGTCAAATTGTCCCTGTTTGCGGATGACATGATTGTATATCTAGAAAACCCCATCGTCTCAGCCCAAAATCTCCTTAAGCTGATAAGCAACTTCAGCAAAGTCTCAGGATACAAAATCAGTGTGCAAAAATCACAAGCATTCTTATACACCAACAACAGACAAACAGAGAGCCAAATCATGAGTAAACTCCCATTCACAATTGCTTCAAAGCAAATAAAATACCTAGGAATCCAACTTACAAGGGATGTGAAGGACCTCTTCAAGGAGAACTACAAACCACTGCTCAATGAAATAAAAGAGGATACAAACAAATGGAAGAACATTCCATGCTCATGGGTAGGAAGAATCAATATCATGAAAATGGCCATACTGCCCAAGGTAATTTATAGATTCACTGCCATCCCAATCAAGCTACCAATCACTTTCTTCACAGAACTGGAAAAAACTACTTTAAAGTTAATATGGAACCAAAAAAGAGCCCGCATTGCCAAGTCAATTCTAAGCCAAAAGAACAAAGCTGGAGGCATCACACTACCTGACTTCAAGCTATACTAGAAGGCTACAGTAACCAAAACAGCATGGTACTGGTACCAAAACAGAGATATAGACCAATGGAACAGAACAGAGCCCTCAGAAATAATGCCGCATATCTGCAACTATCTGATCTTTGACAAACCTGACAAAAACAAGAAATGGGGAAAGGATTCCCTATTTAATAAATGGTGCTGGGAAAACTGGCTAGCCATATGTAGAAAGCTGAAACTGGATCCTTTCCTTACACCTTATACAAAAGTTAATTCAAGATGGATTAAAGACTTAAATGTTAGACCTAAAACCATACAAACCCTAGAAGAAAACCTAGGCAATACCATTCAGGACATAGGCATGGGCAAGGACTTCATGTCTAAAACACCAAAAGCAATGGCAACAAAAGCCAAAATTGACAAATGGGATCTAATTAAACTAAAGAGCAAAATAAACTAACATCAGAGTGAACAGGCAACTTACAGAATGGGAGAAAATTTTTGCAATCTACTCATCTGACAAAGGGTTAATATCCAGAATCTACAATGAACTCCAACAAATTTACAAGAAAAAAACAACCCCATCAAAAAGTGGGCAAAGGATATGAACAGACACTTCTCAAAAGAAGACATTTATACAGCCAAAAAACACATGAAAAAATGCTCATTATCACTGGCCATCAGAGAAATGCAAATCAAAACCACAATGAGGTACCATCTCACACCAGTTAGAATGGCAATCATTAAAAAGTCAGGAAACAACAGGTGCTGGAGAGGATGTGGAGAAATAGGAACACTTTTACACTGTTGGTGGGACTGTAAACTAGTTCAACCATTGTGGAAGTCAGTGTGGCGATTCCTCAGGGATCTAGAACTAGAAATACCATTTGACCCAGTCATCCCATTACTGGGTATATACCCAAAGGATTATAAATCATGCTGCTATAAAGATACATGCACACATGTTTATTGGGGCACTACTCACAATAGCAAAGACTTGGAACCAACCCAAATGTTCAACAATGATAGACTGGATTAAGAAATTGTGGCACATATACACCATGGAATACTATGCAGCCATAAAAAATGATGAGTTCATGTCCTTTGTAGGGACATGGATGAAGCTGGAAACCATCATTCTCAGCAAACTATCGCAAGGACAATAAAACCAAACACCACATGTTCTCACTCGTAGGTGGGACTTGAACAATGAGAACACATGGACACAGGAAGGGGAACATCACACACTGGGGCCTGTTGTGGGGTGGGGGGAGGGGGGAGGGATAGCATTAGGAGATATAACTAATGTTAAATGACGAGTTAATTGGTGCAACACACCAACATGGCACATGTATACATATGTAACAAACCTGCATGTTGTGCACATGTACCCTAAAACTTAAAGTATAATACAAAATAAATAAATAAATAAATTTTAGTTTAGTTTATTCACTAACCTATGGCTGTCAACTGCTGAGGCCTTATTTACTCATTTGAAAATGATCATATTCCACAGGGATGTTTTATAAGACAATTATTCCTAAATAGAGATATATCACACTCTGAGCTGGCAAAAGCTCAACTTTGTAAAGATGTCTGTTTGCCTCATTTTAATCTGTACATTTAAAAGAATAGCCCCCAATCCAAATATAGTTTTGCCTCCTTGGGAATGTGTATCTGTTGAAGGTGTAAGTTAGAAATTTAAATGTTCTTCAGGTTTGTAAGATAGACTTTGTTCTGAGATTAGCTGGGAAAATGCTGAAAAATAAATGTGTTAAAGAGAGGTATTCTCATAACTTACAGGTGAGAGTATAAATGATTAAAGACTGTCTGGAAACAGTTGGGTAATATTTATCAAGAGCTTTAAAATACATGTTCTTACCAGGTATTCTGTATCTATTTCTGTAATTATCTTAAGTAAATTGGTTAACTAAACAGTGGTATACGTAGAAGGTTGTTATTCATCTTAGTGTTATTTATAAACAACCCACATTTTTAAGAGGTGACTGGTTAAATATATTGTTTCCTTATGATATGGATATCATGAGTCATTAAATGTGTTGATATGGCAGTATATTTATTTACATGGAAGAGATTTACAATATATTAGGCAGAATACAAAACATCTTATGAAGACATTGGTGTAGGTATATATGCGTGTGTATCTATTTGGGAAAATGTGCAACAAATTAACTGTGATTATCCCTGGGTGGCAAGATTATGTATGTCTTGTCATCCTTTATTTCACATATAAAGCTCTATTTCTAGTTTTTCTACAGAGATCATGGATTCTTTGAGAGGAAGTAAAACATAACAGTTAAAGCAGTTGAGAGGGTTGAACTCAGTCTGGCTGGGTTTAAATCCCAGTTCTATCACTTACTAGCTGTGTAATCCTTAGCTAGTCACTTTATTCTGTGTTGTTCTAATCTGTAAAGTAGGGATAATCATAATAGAAATTAATAATACCTACCCCATAGAGTTGTGAGGATTAAACATATTTAATACATATGAACTCTTTAGAACAGCTCATGCTACTATATTAATGTTAGACTTTATTATTTTTGTAATAAAAGTAGCACATGCAAGAGAAACAGACACACTAGCATACCTGGAATCTACTGGTAGAGGAAATGGTCTCAAGCGATTGAAATGATTTGGTAAATTTTAAAGAGGAATGTGATGACTGGATGTTTACTTTTTTCTTTACAATTTCTAAATTTTAAATTTAAAAATTATTAAGGCTAAATTCATTTAACATAAAATTAATCATTTAAAAGTGAAAACTCAGTGGCATTTAGGATATGTATAAAGTGTGCATTGTAACACTCCAAAACATCTCCATAATTCCAAAGTAAAACCCTGTAACCATAAGGCAGTTTCCATTCTCTCCTCCCTGCAGCTCCTGGCAACCACTAATCTGCATTTTATGTGATTTATCTATTCTGGACGTTACATATAAATGTAATTCTGGAATATGTTACCTTCTGAGCCTGGCTTTTTTGACAATATAGTATTTTAGAGGTTTATCCACATTATAGTAATATCAGTACTTTACTCCTATGTCTGAAAAATATTTCATTTTATGTATATACTACACTTTGTTTTACATTCATCCATTGATGGTCACTTGGGTCCTTTTCACCTTTTGGCTGTTGTGAAGAGTGCTGCTATGAACAGATGTTTGCTTTTATTAATAATAGTTTCTTCTGATATCAAAGCTGTATATTTAAGATAGAAAATTTAGAAAATACAGAATTACAATTACTTCAAATTTATGTTTTGCTGTGGTACTTTCAGTCTTTTAAAATATGCACACATATACATATGTGTGTATGTAAGTGCATATATATGTATTAAAACCCATAGCTGTGTACAAAAATATACTTAAAAGAGCAATTGGGATGATGGTACACATTGTTTTCTTGCACTGTTTACTGTTTAACATTTCTGAACACTTTCTGATGTGTTATAAGAAAATATTGGTATAACATAATTTTAAATGAAAAACTAAAAATATTGTATATGCTATATTGGTATAAAATAATTTTTAATGAAAAACTAAAAATATGTTATATTGGTGTAACATAATTTTGAATGAACAGAATTTATTTTACCAATATCAAGTGATAAAAGTTTAGCTTTTGACTTCTATATTAAGTGCAATGAATATCCCTTTATATAGAATACTACTTAATTATTTTCTAGGGATAGAGTCCTGGGAATAGAAATGTTTTGTCAATAAGTGTGTACTTTTAAGGCTTTTGACACACTGCCAAATTTCCCTATGGAAATGTTATACTGATTTACATACTACCAGCAATATTTGAGTGTCTGTTTCTTCTTCTGATTGCCAATATACTTTTATTCATAATCACTGTTACTTTAACAAAAATAGTGTCCAGTTCATATTTTAAAATTTCTATTTATATAAAACATTACCAGATACTGTTTTCTTCCTTTTGTGAATGCCTGCTTAATGACTTTTAGTGAGTTTTGTCTTTTTCCTAATGACCAGAAGAGATTTTTGAAAAATATAATGGGCTGGGCATCGTGGCTCATTCCTTTAATCCCAGCATTCTAGGAGGCTGAGGTGGGCAGACCGCTTGAGCCCAGGAGTTCAAGACCAGCCTAGGCAACATCTGAAATGAGGTCTCTACAAAAAATACAAAAACTTAAATTGGTGTAGTAGCATATGCCTGTGGTCCCAGCTACTCAGGAGGGCAAGGCAGGAAGATGGCTTAAGCCTGGGAGGTTGAGGCTGTAGTGAGCTGCGATTGTGCTACAATACTCCAGCCTGGGTGACAGGGCAAAACCGTGTCTCAAAAATAAATAAACAAAAATACAAAAATACAATGAAGATGTAAATCTTGACAATCTGTTAGAAATATATTTTTTTCTATGTTGCTGTTTGTCTTATTTTATCTATGGTATTTTGGTCACAGAGAAGTTAAATGTCTTAACGAAGTGATCTCTGTCATTTTTTGCTTTTTTCTAGAAGTTTCTGCCTTGCTCACATGTTTTTCCAAGTCTCCCTTAGGTGATTGGTGTATATGTTTGATAATGAGCAAAACATTCTAATATTGTCTTGTTTGAACATGGAATACTGCTTGTCTTAGTATTTATTTTGCTACATAACTTTCTCCAGTGACTTATAAAAAAACTACAGTTAACTCAAGGCTACTAGTACACTAAGTTTAGGATCTGAATTTGAACCGTAAGCTCAGAGACAGACACATATCACAAGAAAACAAGTGCATGTCTGGGATTTATTCAGGGAACCCATTTCCACAATATATGCTTGAGTCCAAACTCATTCATGTAGTTTCTCTCTGTATTTGTCTGTGTCCACAGCTTTATAACTTGCATTGAACTTTCGGGCACTAAGATCCTCATTCATCAAATAAGTATTAAATTTTGTTCATCATACTCCATTTACCTACAGGAAATTGAACCTGTTCATTTTTGGGTGAAATTGTTTTTACCTTTTGAAAATCATCTAGCTAGAATGCCTCATTTCTTAGACAATCCAAATCATTTGCCTTTATTATAAATAGGCAAAATATTCCTACATGTCAGGGAAATAAGTTATATGAATTGATACTAACCTATGTGAGTATCTAGCATTTTTTCTCTCATTAAATATAGAATTAGAAGTGACTTTTCTGGCCGGGCGTGGTGGCTCGCGCCTGTAATCACAGCACTTTGGGATGACTAGGCGGGTAGATCACGAGGTCAGGAGTTCGAGAACAGCCTGGCCAAGATGGTGAAATCCTGTCTCTACTAAAAATACAAAAATTAGCTGGGCATGGTGGCGGGCGCCTGTAATCTCAGCTACTTGGGAGGCTGAGGCAGGAGAATCGTTTAAACCTGGGAGGCAGAGGTTGCAGTGAGCTGAGATTGCGCCACTGTACTGGGCCTGGCACCAACCTGGGCGACAGAGCAAGACTCTGTCTCAAAAAAAACAAAAACAAAAGAAGTGACTTTTCTGCCAGTGTGAAATGGAACTTCTGTTTACTTTAGGCTGATGATGTTAATGACAATTATTAATCTTTATCTGCTTTTATTTTATTTTATTTTATTTTTTGAGACAGTCTCACTCTGTCACCCAGGCTGGAATGAGGTGGTGAGATCCTGGGTCGCTGCAACCTCTGCCTCCCAGACTCAAGTGATCCTCCCACCTCAGCCTTCTGAGTAGCTGGGACTACAGGTACACACCATTATGCCCGGCTAATTTTTGTATTTTTTGGAGAGACGAAGTCTTGCCATGTTGTCCAGGCTGGTCACAAACTCCTGAGCTCAAGTGTTCTGCCCACCTAAGCCTCCCAAAGTGTTGGGATTACAGGCACGAGCCACCACGCTCAGCCTATTTTTGTGTTTTACTTCTGATAGATCTTTTAAACAAACAAACAAACAAAAATATGTGTTTATTATAAAAGAAATTAGGAAATATAAGCAAACCAAGCATTCTGAGTACTCTTAATACCTTAGCATATATTCATTCCCCTTTCATATGTATGCATTCATTCGCATTTAATAAAAATTCATTTTTATACTCATCTATTATGAGCATTTTTCCAAGTCAGGGGCAGATGTATACAATTTGAAATAAGTACAGAATTCCACTGTGTGGATATATCAAAATATATTTCAGCAGTTCCCCATCGTTGATCATTTAGACTGTTTTCTACTTCTTGCCATTACAGTTCATAATAAACAATGTGATAGTAAAATCTTTGCTGTATTTAGATATTTATTTTTAGATATTTCCTTGGATAAATTCCCCCAAAATGGAGTGTATCTAATTTTTGAATCTTACAAGTTTTTGGAGAGAGAAATGAGATTGCCAGGAATGTAAAAGCTGAGGATTGGATGTCTTTTCAAATTTAATACATAAAATCAAATACAAATTTCGTCTTCAACATTATGGCATTTATCTTTTTTTCTTTTTCTGTGATAATTCATCTTCCTCTCTAATTTATTTTTCCAACTGTGGAAAATGAATGTAAGAGAATGAGTAGGATAGGAATCTAAAAGACTTGTTTTCTATCTTTATTCTTGTTGGAAAGTTGGGTTTTGGTTACTTTTTGAAGACAGGTTTTTGGAAAGGAGATTTCTTTTATTTGATCATGCTTAGTCTGTTGTTTTGACATTTAGAGAACTTTTTACTTTGGGTGCTGCTGTTTGCTGATGATGACTCACCTTGTTATCAACTTTTACCTTTTCCTTTTCCATGGACATTCAGAACCCACGTTGTGTAGTTACTGGGCGAGATTACAGGTATAGAGAGAAGATTGGTTCATTACAGTTATGTTATATTATATATTATATATATATATAATAGTTACTATACTCCGTATAGTTACGGAACTGGATGTGGCAAATACTTCAGTATGGTCAGTTCTTACATCATTGATAAAAGCAATTGCAACATTACCTGTAAATTTTTGGGGCATTGCTCTTTTCTCCTGTGATTTCTACCCATCTTGTACCCATCCTCTTACTGCTGCATTATTTCCAGTGCTTTAATTAAGAGCACTGGAAATGGACTGTTAACTGACACCCTACTTTAAGAAAATTTGTTGTGTAAAGAGCCCAATCTGAAATATGAAATACAGGAATATTCATTATCATTAGAAAATATATATATATTTTTTGAGATGGAGTCTTGTCCATCCCTATTTCTACCCATCCCCTTACTTGTAAATCCTAAAACTTTCTAACCTAGAGCTTTATATTTTATCAGCAATGAATAATCTCATTCTGAAAACAGAGATACATTTTGAGTCTAAAATATCCCTATACACATAAACACTAACATACAGAACAGTTTCATTTATAAAAGTCTTTGAGAAATGATGACCCATTTCTCTGTCTTGAAGATTAAGAATTTTCTGTTTGCTTTCAAGTATTTAGATTTGTTTGTCTCAGGTTTCAGTTTCACAGGAATCACTAAGCACAGAAAAGGACACAACACTAATTTAGGGAAGACTTGAGAGTGTGAAGGTAATCACACCTTTAGAAAGAGATTTGTTACCTGGAAAGGAAACTGCTGCATTACTTCCAGTGCTTTAATTAAGAAACTGGCCTGTTAACTGACAACCTACTTTAAGAAAATTTGTTGTGTAAAGAGCCCAATCTGAAATATGAAATACAGGAATATCATTATCATTAGAAAAACATATATATTTTTTGCTCTGTCACCCAGGCTGGAGTGCAGTGGCGTGATCTTGGCTCACTGCAACCTCTGCCTCCTGAGTAGCTGGGAGCAGTTGGGAGTAGCTGGGAGTAGCTGGTTCAAGCAATTCTCGTGCCTCAGCCTCCCGAGTAGCTGGGACTACAGGTGCCCGCCACCATGCCCAAGTAATGTTTTGTATTTTTAGTAGAGGCAGGGTTTCACCATGTTGGCTAGGCTGGTCTCGAGCTCCTGGCCTCATGTGATCCACCTGCCTTGGCTCCCAAAGTGCTGGAATTACAGCTGTGAACCACCATGTCTGGCCAGATTTTTCATCTTTGAAGGACTTAAAACAGAAAGCCTTTTAGTAAAAAGGTTTTATAATTTTTGTTAGTGAGGAATTAAAAATAGTTTATATTTGCTGAATAAATTTTAGGCAGGAGAGTAGGAAAGAGCTAGGATTAAAATTGGTGTCAGATAATGTCTAAAGCCAATAACTTATTTTTGTGTCCAATAAGAAACGACCTTTAGACAGTGTTGCAGTTCACAACAGATTTATCAGCTTTGTTTTTGGTCTTATATTTTGATAGAGAATATTGATAAAGATTGTTTTGATAAAATATTAAAATTAAAAGGCACTTTTTGAATATAGTGCAAAAATATTTGCAAAAAATTAAAGACAGACTTTGTAATATTCTAAATGGTTATTTCTTGTGAATATAAATCTGTCATTCTATTAGCATGTGCAAATTTATTTATTATATGGTGATAATTTATAGTCATAGCAGTTGCTTTTTTTTTCCTGCAGCGCACCACTTCTTTTTTTTTCTACCAGCTTTACTGGTATGAAATCAATAAAGATATAATTATATATGAAAACTGCACATCTTTAATGTATACAATTTGATGTGTTTGGACAAATGCATACACCTGTGAAACCATCATAACAATCATAATAATAAACATATTTACTATTGCCAAAAACTTCCTCCCATAGCAGTTGTTTTTTGAAGTGAATTGAACAATATTTCATTTTTATGGAGTGTTTTAGTGTGTTCTTGTGTAATTATATTACAGGAATCAAGAGCTCTCTATAGTGGGTAAGAGAAAAATTTTGCAAATTTCTTATGTTAAATTGTTGATTGTATAAATCAAAATTTAAATTTTAAAATATGCACTCATATTTGCTTCACTTAATCTGGCAAAATTGGTTTTTAGTTATTTCTTTAAGCGTCACATTTTTTGTGACTCACATTGTGATTGTGTTTATTGATAGAGTGGATGTGGTGTTGACATAGGTGTTCTTGAAATTCTGTGTGTAAACCCGTGTTTGGCCATTACATTCTGCTTCGTATTATAGCTTCATCTTCACAAAATCCAGTATTACTAAGTAATTGTCTGGAAATGTCACTTTTATAAGCACTGAAGCTTTTACCATAAATAGTTAATTCTTATTATTCATAGTAGTTATGATCTGTGAAGTTGCCATGAAGACTGAATTAGCCAATACTGAACAATTGGTCCTAGAAAAAAATACAAGAGCCTCTGGTCTTATTTTTGTCAGCAGATTGAAATATAATGTTGTTTTACATGTGTTTCCATTTTAAGAGATCTTATTTAATCTATGTTGTTGATTCATTAATGTTGAACTCACAGCCAACAGCACCGTAACTCATACATGAAGGAAGCTTGCCTAACATGTATTTTCTCTGTAAGGAACATCAAAGCCTTCTAGGAACTCTAGACAGTACAATGTTCTGGGACCATTTTAAAGCAACATAAAGCAAAAAAAAAAAAAAAAAAGTGAAAAACATGGCACGAAATATACTGGGAAAAGGACACTCAGTGACAGTATGGGAGCTGAAACAAGAAGGCAGAGCATCACCTGTTGGTCTCAGCTGGGAATGTGTGTGTCAGGTGACTCCAATATTTCACTGCACTGTGCATGTTCACACATAACTAGGAAATTACTGAGTATTGATTTTGTGGTGATAAGTAAATTTTAGCAAGTAAAATTTGCAAATATGGAATCACCAATAATAAGTCTCGACTGGCTGGTTTTTGAGGGAAATTTTTCTATTTAATAAAATGAAATAAAATTGAACATAAGTTAATTTGATGATGTAAGCTAATCATTGTGGAGATGCTTATGAAGGGAATCCAACATTTACTGAGAGTCTGTCATTGCTGTTCCTGGTGTGTTTGACTCTACATCAGTGTCCCTTATAATTCACCATAATCTTCTTCACCACCTGCTCCTTCCTCACTCCATCCCTGCTGGTACTTCTCAATGTGGCAACTTTTAGGTATCTAACACTCACCTCACCCTGTCTTGCTTGCCTAATCTGCTGTCTCATGTTACCTAAGAAAACCCTGGGCATTTTAAAAATAATCAGAAAACAAGCTCATTATATGATTAAGAATAGCTTTTTGATATGAGTTAAACTCAAGTTTAGTATGAGGGACTTGAATACATTGTCTTTATGACAGTATTTTCCCTTCTGATTTTAGGGTATTTGTTAACATTTTTTACCCCGATGTATGTATGAGATGATTTATAGTGCTAGAGCTTTTGCCACTAGATCACTGGGAACGATTGAGCAAGCTTGGGTTAATATCTTGAGCTTCATTCTCTTCTATTGAAATTGAATATAAACTGTGATATAAAGTAGACCCTTCTTGGCCATTTTTGCATATATTCTTGTGGTATATTATCTTCATTTTGTAAGATTGGAGACTGAGGTCTGGAAACACAAGATAAATATCTTAGAGTAATAGCAGAAATGATGAGGAAGTTTGCAAAGTGCTTCTTTGTGTTCTATTTGATGGCTTGTTACTGCAATAGCATGATTTTGTGCTTTATTTCCAACCTATTTGGGCCAGCTTTAACATTTTTTATGGTCAATTTTTTAGAGGATTTTCTAGTCATTAAATTTCTTGGATTTTAGAATAGTGCTTTGCTGGTCACACAGCAGTGGCAGGCTGTGTGAACTTTCTTCTCTTCTAGAACAGTTGCAGATTTAAAGCTACCTTCTGCCAAAGGACCCATGGAAGATATGACTTTTGTTATACTTTGTTCATTCAAGTTGGAATGTTCTTTTAAGCCCTGCTAACATGAGATTAACTCCTATTTTATTTTTGTTGCAATGAAAGTATCTGTTCAGATACTTTCTGAAAAGTACCGAACAGAGTACTGAACAAAGTACTTCTAAAAAGTATGTGAACAGAAAGTACAGATACTTTGTGTACAGACATCTGTTGTGTAATGCCTGTCCTAAATGCAAAAATGATCCCTAGCTTAGGAGAGATATGATATAATTGAATAAAAACATACTGACTGAATGTAGAAAGAGTAGAACTAGACTAATACTGTGGTTAGTAGCCATTTGTGGATATTGACTACTTTTTTTTAATTTCTTTTTGAGAAGGAGTCTCACTCTGTCACCAGGCTAGAGTGTCATGGCACAATCTCGGCTCACTGCAACCTCCACCTCCTGGGTTCAAGCAATTCTCCTGGCTCAGCCTCCCGAGTAGCTGGGACTACAGGCATGCGCCACCATGCCCAGCTAATTTTTGTATTTTTAGTAGAGACAGGGTTTCACCATGTTGGCCAGGATGGTCTCAATCTCCTGACCTTGTGATCTGCCCACCTTGGCCTCCCGAAGTGCTGGGATTACAGGTGTGAGCCACCACGCCCGGCCAGATATTGACCACTTTAAATGTGGCTATTTCAAATTGAAGTGTGCTATATGTGTAAAATACACATTGGATTTAGATTATTTAGTACAATAAAAGAATGTAGTTTCTCATTAATATTTTTATATTGTTACTGTTCAAATGGTATCAAGTTAAAATATATTATTAAAATTAATTTTACCTGTTTTTAAAATCATTTTAATGTGACTACTAGAAAACTTAAAATTACACATGTGACTTGCATTTATAGCTTATATTTCTATTCAGAAGTATATAATATATAGCTGGTACAGATGTTATGCTGAATATTTAAAACATATAGACCCTGTCTTTTGTTTCTGTCATCTTTCTTCCCCTCCTATAAATATACCTTTAATATTGTTAGAAAGTAAAGAAATATGAAAAGCTTATTCAATGATCAACTCCCTAGTGACCCACCAACACATTTCTCATTATAGGTGGTTGTTATGTGCTTCTGTGAAAGCTCCCAAGACACCAAGTTGGTAAAAGCTGGATAAACAAGGCTGTATTTTTTATACAACAATGTTAAGCCAGTTGGCAATTTTGTGAACTCACTGAAACGGAAAAATTGTACTGAGTATTTGTATTAAAAAGAGTTATAAATATCTGCAATTATTACTCAAGTATGAATTATTTTAAAGTTTGTTACTATCAATAAGAACCGAATATTACCAGAGCATTCAGTAGTATTAGGAGTTTTAAAAAGCTGGATGCTATTTTCAGGTATACAGACATGGATTCAGTCTAGGAAAGGTTCTCTCCTTTATTACTTTGTTTAATGCAGCATGAAGTCAATTGTTCATTTGCAAACATGTTTTGTGGTGGTGTATTTTCTTTTTCTTTTCTTTTTTTTTTTTTTTTTTTGAGATGGAGTCTCGCTCTGTCGCCATGCATCTTGGCTCACTGCAACCTCCACTTCCCGTGTTCAAGCGATTCTCCTGCCTCAGCCTCCCGAGTAGCTGGGACTACAGGCACGTGCCACCATGCCCAGCTAATTTTTTTGTATTTTTAGTGGAGACGGGGTTTCACCATGTTGGCCAGGATGGTCTCGATCTCTTGACCTCATGACCCGCCCGCCTTGGCCTCCCAAAGTGCTGGGATTACAGGTGTGAGCCACTGCACCTGGTCGGTATATTTTCTTTTTAAAAATTTATCTAATCCAGGACAGTGCTGACATTTTTTTATTTTCCAAAGCCTTTATTTTAAAAGTAACATTTTACTCATATAAACTTGGACAATGTAAAATTATGTATATAGTGGTTCCTCTGTATCTGTGGGCTGCACATCTGTGGATTCAACCAACCTCAGATTGAAACTATTTGAAAAAAAAAATGGCATCTGTCCTGAACATGTAAGGATTTTTTTCTTGTCATTATTCCCTAAACAGTGCAGGTATTGTCTTAACATAGAATTTTCACTGGCTTTATGTTTTTAAACTATAATAGTACCTGTCTGTGAATTGTGCAGATTGTGCTATAATATCCCTAGAGAAATGGTAAAGACAGCAGCAGAACAAGGCTCTTCTCTGTTCTACTCAAAGGGTCATCTCTTCTGCCAGCTCTAAAAAACAATAGAAATTCTTAGAGAAACTCACATTTTAAAAGTTTTTAGTGATCCTTCAGTAGAAATGCATAGAAATGTATCAGAATTCATTGTTTTTTTCTGAAATGCTAGAGGATGCTTAGTCTTCCCCTATGTAGCCTATAATTTTAGTTCTGTGTTAATATGAACACTGATGAAAGACATAGGTAGTACTTCTGATAGTACATTTTCACTTCCTACGTTGGAGATTTATTTGACTCCATTTATATCTGTTAAATCAGTTTAGCTCTACTTGAATCCCAGTTTCAAAGATTTCCAACTGGAAAGCTGACAAAACTATTGGTGTGGGTGGAGAGTATTAAGAATTTTGCTTTTAGTTTTTCTCCCATTGGAATACAATGTATTTGTTTCTAAGAATTATAATCAGTTGTAGACTGAAGCTTTGTAGGAAATATTAAATGTAAATTCCACTGTAAAGTTTGACAATAGCCACAGGCACAGATTTTATTTCTGAAACTGGGAAAAGAGACCTCTAGAGAAATAGAATGGTTTGAACTTGGACTTTTTTTCTTTCTTTCTTTCTTTCGTAATGAGTTTACCTGGAAAGACCTTCAAAGGTAGTGTTTATAAAAAGAATTTTATATACAGATTTTAAAGGATGTTCTTTAAAGCTTTTTTAGGTTTACTGGAGAAAAACAGAAGAGCTAATAAATTCATACAAATAACCCTCGTTGTACTGTGGAGGGTGTTAATAGCTTTCTTTAAAGATGAACTTGTAAAATGCTTTGTGAGCATTCTAAATACTTATTAGCCTGCTTGACAACCAGTGGTTACCTTGGGCCTTTTTATTGCTAGAGGTGAGAAAGCCAGAGAAAGGATTTGGAAACACCAGTCTTCTTCTGCTTCCTTTTGGTGCAGATCTTTATTCCTGCTTTTCTGTACTGTTGGGTTAGCCTCTTACTTGATTTTATTTTTGAAATAGCCATTATTTCACTACCTTTCCTAATCCCAAAACACTGGGGTACTCCACTGACTATATTAAATTTATGTACCTCTGGCATTCAAAACTCTTCAATGATCTGGCCTCAAACTGTTTTTCAAGTATTTTCTCTTACTCTCTATTCCCAAGGCAAACTGTCTCTTTTCAGTTGTTGTGATAAATCCTGTAATTTGTTTCTTAGTGTCCTTCTTCCTAATGTTCTGTCTGTGTAAAACACCTTTGTGGTTCATTCCCTGTTTCTATTATGTATATTGAAATCTTTTCCATAGATTGAATCTCTACTTCCTCTTCCAAGCCACTGTGGGATCTCCCAGGTTGAGCTAAATGTGCTCTTTGCCCTTTAAACTTTGTACGGTTTTTGTAGTAATTATCAAAATTCACCTTGCTTGATGGTTAGTTGCATTTATGTCTTATCTATTCTATAAGGAAGATACATACCATGTCTCATAGGTGGTTTTTGTTGTCGTTGTTTTGTTTTTTGCTCAGCATTGCTTAACAAAATTAGGGATCTAATTTTTTTAAATTCATCAGTCAGTGAATTCAGGTATGTTCTCTCCTTCAAATTGTCATAAATCCAGTGTACAACTGTTTCTTATGTATTGTTTTCCACTTATGAAATAGCTTTTTTTGTGGCTCACTTATGTTTCCCCGATTCCTTTTTTGTAGGAAATTTTCATTAAAAAATTTTAAGCTCAAAGAAAAATTGCAAGGCTAGTACAAGGAACTCCTGCACATCCTTTACCCAGGTTCACTGTTTACATTTTGCTCCAGTTTCTTATTCTCATTCTCTCTCTCTGTCTCATTGTTTGAACTATTTGAGAGAAACTTGGAGACATTATGGCCCTTCATCACTAAATAATTCAGTACATATTTCCTAGGCTGGGTGAAGTGGCTCATGCCTGTAATCCCAACACTTTGGGAGGTCAAGGCAGGTGGATCTCTTGAAGCCAGGAGTTTGAGACCAGCCTGGCCAATATGGTGAAACCTTGTCTCTAAATAAGTAAATAAAAATACTTTAGTACATCTTTCCATAAGAACAAGGTCATTCTTTGACAGAACAATAGCACAATGATTAAAATCAGAACATTTTACTTTGATGCATATTTCTGTCTGTAGTCCCTATTCAAATTTTATAAAGTGTTTCAATGATGACCTTTATAACTATTTTCTCCCCAATCCAGGATGCAGCCTAAGATCTCACATTGCATTTCTTTATCATGTCTCTTTAGCCTTTAGTCTGGAATAGTTCTTCAGTTACGTCTTTCTTGATGTTGATACTTCTGAAAAGTATAGATCTGTTATTTTGTAGAATGTCTGTCCAGTTGGGTTTGTGGAATGTTTCTTCACGATTAGATTGACATTATATGTTTTTGACACAAATAACACAGTAGTATTCTTTCCAGTGCATGATACCAGGAGGCATGTGATATCATTGTGTTCCATTATTGGTGAAGGTAATTTTTTATCATTTGGTTGAGTATGACAGGACTTTCACTATAAAATTACTGATTTCGCTTTGTAATAATTAGCAATTTGTGGGGTGATATAGTAAGACTGTATAAATATCCCGGTCCTCATTAAACTTTCGATCACTAGTTTTGGCAACCCTTTAATGGGTTTCTAACTTTGTCATTCTTTCTCTGCATATTAATTGACCTTCTATTGAAAAGAAAGCCTTTCCCTTCTTCCTCATTTATTTATGTCAATATGCACTGATGGATTCTTATTTTAGTTAATAGTTTTGATTACTTATTTTGATGCACAAATTGGCCTAGATTCAGCTATTGGAAGCCCCATCGAGCTAGATGCCATGTTACTTTACCTGTTTCATTCATTCTTTGAGCACTTCTTTACTTTTTGGCACAAGCCGTTCTAGGCTTATCATATACTTTTCCTGCCCATCCCTCAAATTATTCTCTTCTCCAAGAAGCCCTGATTCCTTGAACCAAAGATGATATTTAGAAACTGACATCTGGGAACCAAGCATGTTTGTTCTACTGAGTGTTCTTTTTTCCCCTAGATCTTCCAAGTAGATAAATCTAGAAAATGTGTGTTTATGTCTGCATATAAACGTGTGCATATCTACCTCTTTATCTTATTTCATTCCATATCTGTTCATATTAAAAACTACAAGTTTGTGCTGGTAACATTAATTCCACTTGAACAGCACAGTGTACATTCATGTCTTTATCTTTTTTATACTTGTAACTACTTTCTCCAACAATGAGAAACCTGGTTTCAGTTATACTCAGTGTATATACTCATTTGCTCAAGTCTAGAATACATGGAAATTGGTTTCAGAATTGTTGGCCCATACCACTGCAGAAAGCAAACCTACTAACTAGGGTTCTGTATTTGTTTACTTTTTTGAGGTACAGTGTACATACAATCAGATGCACAAATGTTAAGTGTACAGTTTCAGCTTTGACACATGCACATATCTGTGTCAAGACAGGGTACTTCTATCACTCAAAACACTCCATTTTCTTTCCAGTTAATTCTCTCTCCAACTCTGCTGCCCAGAAGCAAACACTTTTCTGACTCTTTTCACCACAGTTTAGTTTTGCTGGTTTTAGAACTTTATATAAATGGAATTATACAGTACATACTTTTGTGTGTGTGTCTGGCTTCTTTCACTCAACATCATGTTTTTTGAGATTCATCCACATTGTTATGCATATCAGCAGTTTGTTTCTTTTTATTGCTGAGCAGTGTTCCCTTGTATAACTGTACCACAATTTACCTATTTTTCTGTTGATGGACATTTGGGTTGTTTCTAGTTTTCAGCTATTTTGAATATAATAAGTGGCTGTGAATATTTTTGTACAAGTCTGCTTTGTGGACATTATGGTTTTATATCTTTTGGGTAAAATCTTGAGTAGAATGGCTGGACCATTGGATAGGTGTTTATTGAGCTGTATAGGAAACTACCAAACACTTGTTCCAAGTTGTTTTCATTCCTATCTGCAAGATGAGTGTTCTAGTTGCTTCACATCCTTGTCCACATCCTGAGTTTTCAGTCTTTTTCTTTCTTTCTTTCTTTTTTAAATTATACTTTAAGTTATGGGGTCCATGTGCAGAATGTGCATGTTTGTTACATAGGTATACATGTGCCATAGTGGTTTGCTGCACCCATCAACCTGTCATCTACATTAGGTATTTCTCCTAATGCTATCCCTCCCCTAGCCCCCCACCCCCCAACAGGCCTTTTTATTGTGACAATTCTAGTGGATGTGTAGTGGTGCCTCATCGCGATTTTAATTTGCATTTCCCTGGCAACCAATGATTAAATTACTTCTGTAATTGATTAATTAAATTATTAAATGACTTTTTAATGTGTGTATTGGTCATTTGTATATCTTTCTTTGGGAAGTTTCTGTTGAAGTCCTGTGCTGATTCTAAATTCTAAAACTCATTCTGGTAAATTTTAGCCCCGTGTATGTGCTAAAAGGTTAGCTAGCAGTGGTTTATGAAATGTGATCACAAAAAGCCAATTTTTAATTGAATTGTAGAAGCTTTTAATATATTCTGAGTGCAAATTCTTTGCCAGAAGTATGTTTTCAGAATATTTTCTTCCAGTCTATGACTTGCCAGTTCTGTTTTCTTAATGTCATGTTTTGGTGAGCAGGAATTTTAAATTTCAGTAAAGTCTTATTTACCTTTCTTTCTTCTTTTATAATTATTGCATTCTGTATTTGGTCAAAGAAATCTTTCCTACTCTTGATCATGAAGATAGTTTCTTGTTTTCCTCAAAATGTTTATAGTTTTAACTTTAACACTGAAGCCTATGACCCACCTTGAATTAAACTTTGTACCTAGGTATGAGAGTAGGAATTGAAGTTTATTTCTCCATTTGGATATTCTGTTGTTCCAACACCATTTGTTGAGAAGATCTTTTCTTTCCTTACTGAATTATTTTGGCACCATTTTGGAAAATCAGTTGTCCACATCAGTGAGAGTTCTCTGAATAATTTTAATTACAAATATGGCTTTGATTTTCATTGAACTGTTACTCTATATTTCAAGCAGTATTCATAAAAACCTACATTCAGCTTTTACCTAGGGAAATCCTGTTGTGTTCTGAATACTCTTTCCTTCAAATGCCAGGACAAATCATTGTGTTTTTTGCTGTTAGGTGAAATATGTCATGTGTGGATCTAGCACATATGCCATTTTCTTCTCTCAACATTGTCCTTTTGCCAATATAGAAGGCTTCCTGGGTAATTCTTTTTTAGCCCTATTGAGGAAACACAGACTTTAATGTCATAAAATAGTGCTTCATTTTTATCAAAGCATTATGTGCCATGATGCTTATAGTAAATACAGTAAAAGCAATTGACATGCCTTTCTTTTTTTCCTTTTGTTCATTTGTTTGGTGTATACGTATTGAGCTTCCATTATAAACTGTCTCACTGTGGGCCCATAAGGATTAATGACAATTCATTTTTTGTGGTCACATTTCATAAATCATTGCTAGCTGACCTTTTAGCACATAGACAGGACCAAAGTTTGCCATAATGGGCACCTTGCACTCAGCCCATACAATATGCACAGAGGAACCCTTCTCCTACTCCTTGAAAGGATTAGGAAGCTGCCTTGGAGATCTCATTATTGGTAGCTCTGGGCAGTTGCAAAGAGGGGTCATAGCTCTCCTTCCTACTGCTTACTATGTAGGATTTATTTTCCCAGGGTTAGCAATTTTCTTTGGGGTCTGATATTCTTTAGAGAAAGATACTTAAAGTTGTAGATCATTTTTCTCTGTTCTTTCTCTTTTATGCATAGCAGTTTAGGGCCTCCTTCTCCGTTAATATGTCCGATGGCCTTCATGATGAGAATGCACTGTCTGTAATTAGCTGTGCAGCTGATGACGTGCCTCCAGTAGCCACCAGCATGTGACCTTGATAGTATGTAAGTGTTAGGAAAAAAAGTGTTGGTTGGCTGTTATCTCTAATCCACCACAGCTGAGCAAGAATAATGGCAGATGACAGGGCAGGCAGGCTGAAAACTCCTATGAAGAGTTGCTTTCTGCAGCATCTTGTGTACAACAGCCTGTCAAAGACACTTAGAGTTTGTGGTGGGAGCTCCACATGGCTGACAAGGCAGCAGCATTATGTTTGGTGTGTGGACATGTATTGAATTTGTATTAGCTTCTTTTGTAAGGCAAAGTGAAAGTACGTAATGAAATGAGTAACGTGTATAGAAACATTGATTTTGTTTCATACTGGGGCACAGAGGCCAACCCTGTTCTCTGCTCTGGTGTTTGAATGGGGGCTGATCTTTAGCCTGCGGCTATTTTGCCTTCATTTTGGAAACAAGCACATTCTCCCTTTGTTGTCCCCCACCCATCCAGGAAAGAGAGGCATCTGTTGTCATATCCATTATTTATCTGTGAGAAACAATTTTACTTAATTATCTTCTCGGCTCCTGCAGGCCTGCCTTGGCCCTCTCCCTTTTGAAAGGATAATAGGACTCGATGCTGTTAATATGTTTTAATTAGTGAGCTCATGGCACAGCCAGTACCTCACACTTGACTTTTTAGATGGCTTTGTAGATAAGAACCTCTGCAGCAAAAAGGGAAGCCTGGGAGTGTGCAGGCTTCCTTTGAGCCATGTTCAAGTCTCACAGCAGCTAAGCGAAGTGCTTATTTTCTCAACACCATTATTCCTGTCTGACTCTGCCAAAGTGACAGAGATTGCTTTCTAAGTTACTTCATGTGGCTTCTTTGCATTGTTGGGAAAATGCTTTATTCTCAGAGGCTGAGCTTCTTTATTTTAAAATAAGGCATTTGAACCACAATAAGCTTTCAGGCACTCTTGTGCTATAAGTTTACATTCCTTGATGAATGTTGAGATTCTGGAAGCCATATTTGCAAGTTGTATTAGCTCGTTCTCACATTGTTATAAAGACCTACCTGAGACTGGGTAGTTTATAAAGAAAAGAGGCTTAATTGACTCACAGTTCCACAGGCTGTCCAGGAGGCATGGCTGAGGAGGTCTCAGGAAACTTACAAGCATGGCAGAATGCAAAGGGGAAGGAACCACATCTTCACATGGCCAGCAGGAGAGAAAGCGAAGGGGGAAGTGCTACATACTTTTAAATAACCAGATCTTGTGAGAACTCACTATCATGAGAATAGCAAGGGGGAAATTTGCCCCCATGATCAAATCACCTCCTACCAGTACCCTCCCCCAACACTGGGGATTACAATTCAACATGAGATTCTGTTGGGGATACAGAGCCAAACCAGATCCCAAGCCATAATGTCAGAAGCTCTCAGATCCAAGGAAAGGGGTTCTTGGCTGGTACCATATACATTATGGCCTTGGGAAAAGTGTGGGTTTAGCTGACCCCTGCAATATTAGCCTGTCTTTGCCTTGGTAAAAATGTAGGGCAGGGTTATTTTAACATCTTATTTCTTCCTTATCAGAGAAATGCTCTTTGTGTTATCAATCCCATAAAGAAGGGCTTGCTAAGAGATGGCAGACCTGTAGAACCTGTGTGACTCTACCTGTCTACCCATCTAAGGACTGAAGAATTTCTGGGAGAGCAAATTTATGATGTAGTCATTACCTTCTTCCTCCTCTTAGGAGCGCCATTCATCCTGTTTGCCTCTCCAAAATCAAGCCCTAAAGCCAGGGAATGTCTAGTCCAGGATGTAGCATGGGAGGTTTTGAAGGAGTGTGGTTCATTTCTCACCTGCAGTTACTGTTGGCTGGCAACTCACAGAAGTGTCCCATGCTCTGCTACAGTGAAGTGCTGGGGGATGGGGTATCTAGCCCAACATGTGCCAAAGCTTCACAAAATCCTGAAAGACTGGGAGTGAGGGGCTGTAATTTCCTGAAGTACTCAGTGTTAAGGATACAGTAGGTAGTTGAGTGGGAGGCATTGGTGGGCTTCCCTGGGAACTCTACCCCCAATGAAGTGAGGAGACACATGCCTGATGAGGGAGTGTTCTGCCTACCCCTGCTGGGGTCTAGAAGAGTCACAGAAATTCCCCTCTCAGAATCTTGTGTGCCTTCATGGAGGAAATGATGCCTGGTAGCATCCTTTGCCTACTCTAAGAAAAGTTGAGTGGTAGAAGGCTTTAGTATTTAAGCACTCATATAGAGGGAGCCAACCATTCTCATGGTAACAATTATATATCACTGGCATCAGATGGAGAAGTAGCAATGGCCACCAGAAGGAGACTGCTGCTGCAGAAGCCAACTGTGCCCTATCTTCCCTCTACCCCATTGCTTTCTCCTTGCTCTCCTCAACAGAGCCAGTGCATGGGCATAGAGGAAAGAGATCAGGCCACTTTCTCCCCTCCTCAGGCCACAACTAGTAACTGTGCATAAGTGTAATCCATGCTAGAGGGGTACCGTGACTTTAAACTGGACTGGGCTATAATTTAAACTGAAGGTGGCTAGGAACATTATTGGTTTGGACTGAGATATCTCTAATTGGCAAGTTAAAGTTTGCTGCCCAGCTGGCTGGGTTCCTTGACATACCATTGGTAATACTTAATGAAAAATGTAAAGTACTGTGAATGAGACTCTGCAGCCATACCTGACACAATAGCAGAACAGCATTGACTTGTAGCTCTGGTGGATCACATTTTACACCATTAAGCTCAGATGTCCATGGAAAATAGAGCTTCATTTTTCATAACTGAGTCTCCCTACAAGGCCCCTAGTCCACTGAATTAAAGGGGACAGTGGACTAACTTCAGAACATAAAGATAAATTTAGTCTGCTTTGCAAATTTAAATTTAGGTAACTCAGGTTTCTTGGCTATACATTTCTTCTTTTTGATATGATCCTCTGCTGTTCTCTGTAGAGGCATCTGGGTGAACTTGAATTGAGCAGGGCTTAGGGAACCTCATAGTGGAGGGGAAGAGAAGCTGTAGATTCTATGAGAACAGCCCTTGTATTCTGTGGCTCCAATAGCACAACATTGCCCCTTCTGAGCATCTAAAATGGAAGACTTTGCTTTATTAGGGCTCAGAGATCCTACTTGTTGGCTTTGCTCCACCTCACCCTGGCTTGATGTTGTGGATCTTTGAGGTTTGGCTGACTCCCTCACTATGCCACTTCCTCTGGCAAGTTCTCCAGCCAGAAACTGAGCTGTTTCCATGTCTGTTCTCAGATTTCTGAATATTTTCCATGCCTTACAGAAGTGCAGGTAGGCTGGAGCTTGCACGTTTAGACATTTTCTCCTACTGACCTCACGGCTTTCTTGGATTATTGTGGGGGTGACTGGTGAAATGGTCTGATTCATCCCAGAGTCCTGAACAGGAAGCTAGGCAGGAGCTTTTCACAGTACTTTTGGCTTATCCTTCAACCATTATAATATCACCTCTACTCTCTCTGGGACTAGCTTAACCAAGGGATATTTAAACACACGTGTCTCACTATTTGCTTGTCTCCCTCCTTTCTTCCTCACAATCAGCTGGAGGTCTAATGTAGTAGGCTTTCTACTTCTTCCGGGTGGACCAAGGTTTCCTTTATGTTAGGATGGTTTCCAGGGAACCTCATTTTGGAGGATAAGAATACACAATGCAGTATTATCCCTGATACACATGATCTTATTTAATTTTCCCCACAGTTCTGAGTTACAATATTTCCATTTATAAATGAAGAAACATTTTTAGAAGAAGCTCAGAGAAGTAAAGTTCCCAGGTCATACATCTAGTCAGAGACAGAACTGAGATTTAAATGTCTCATTCTGTTCTGTTACCCTCTCTTCTCTCCAGAATGTGCAACTGTTCCAGGTCAGCTCTCTTTGTAGGACACACCAGCTTTGCCAGAAATTTAGCAACATAGCTACTTTTTGATAGGGGTCAGTAGATGATGTTTTGTTTTTGTGATTGAAAACACTGAAATGATAATGCCTTTCCTGTGTTTGTATTTAACAAACTGAAGCTTGTGATGTGAAGCCAGCATGTGGGGTTTGTCTTATATTGTATATTCAGCACAACACATGGAGTGGAGCTGGCACTTGCTTAGGTTAATAGCAAAGGCAGAATAATGAAAGCAGCAGCAGCAAAATAAATGCCTGGCTCAGAATCCCCAGCAAATTGGTGACATTGCAGGGTTGAGTCAGACGCAGAGTCTGGGCCAGAGGATAAATCCAGGCTGCTCTTCTAGACAACTTCAGGCATCTCTGGCAGGAATTGTATTTACATGACACCTTAATATTTACTGGGAAAGGGGTTTGGGAACTTTCTCTTTTCTGATGTAGAAAACCACCCAGAGGAAAGGCTTGGTCTCAGTCTATGGTTTGAGAGCAGGGAAAGGCTTTTCCTAAATAGCCAGCTATGAAGACTGCAATTACCTTGGATGTGACACTTTTGCCTTATGGCTTAATTTGCATACGTCTCCTTTTGTGTGTGTGTGTGTTTAAAGATGTCCTTTCCTAAGAAAGAGGAATGATGCGTATTAACCAGGATAGTTTCACAAAGAGGGGTGTGATGGCTTGTAGGGATGGTCATCAAATGTCACATTTAACTTTCCACAGTTCATGCAGCGTTTTGCTTTGGTTATGGACAGTAAGGTGTGTTCTGTGAGGTTAATCTGGCTCTTTGGAGGTGTTTTTCAGTTAAATTCAGGGGGCTCCATATGGCACTGTTTTTATTCTTGCATCATCTTTTCTAGGTGTTGACATTTAGACCCGAAATTAGTCTGATTTTAAAACAGATGAAATATGCATGAGAATCATCTCATGTGTATGGGTCTTTGTTATGAAATGCAAAGAGTTTATCCTTAGTGCTTTATGCCATCAAATGATTTCAAGCCACAGATGAGTTCACATGGAGGAATAGAATCTGTTCAATATACTCTAGATTCATCCTCTTAAAATACAGGTAAAATATGGGGCTGAAACTGCACTGAATGTTTCTACCATAGACAAAGCTAGTTATTGCTTAATTTTCCCTAAAGAGGGTTTATCCACTTTATGTTATGGATAAATCTGAGTATGCTGCCTCCAGAAGCTGTTGCATAATTCTAGTGAATAGAAGCAGAATGGTCTATTTGCTAATTGACCTAATTTCCTACTTCAAATCATTTTTATTCTTTACTCTGCATTTTATGTACCCAATCCATTTTTGTAGTTGAATTGTCAAGATGATAACTTATAGAATATTTCACTTAAGATTAGTTAAGAGTTACCCTAGAAAAATTACTGATGGGGTATTACATTTTTAATTTTACTATTTCCCTTCTAGGGCTTTTCTTGGAAAGGTTTCTTTGTTCCTACAGCAAAGCAAAATACATAATAGAATGATTAAAACAAAACTAATTTTTAAAAAAATTCTAGCAGATCAAAATACGGAATACCTTGCCCAAATTAAGTGGATTACATGTTTGATGTTATTATGTAGCCCACTAGAAAATGCCAAGGAAAGCACGGGGATTTATCTTTTTTTTTCTTTTTTTCATTTGGGTGATATTGACTGGGTAATTTGTAACTTGTCTCCTTTTACCTCCCTTCTGCAGCTATAAAATATGTATAACACCTGAAATAGGAAGAGATGGAGTGGAGAAGAAACCAGTTTGATACTTTTTTCTTTACCTAATATATAAATAAGTTTAAGAAAAAAAGGCTGTTTTAATCCTTGAAAGCTCCATAGCTCTCCATCAATGGAAACTCTATTAATTGCCATTTTCCTATATCTATAGCTTGATGTTACTGTTGATACGAGGCATTACAGTTTCTCAGGTTCTTTGAAAAAAAAAAACAAGGAACTATTTATGGAATTCTAAAAAGAATTGGTAGAATAGATTTTTTAAAAATTTGGTTTATGAAAAATTGATCAGAATTGCCATATATGGCAAATGCATAGTTTCTATTACTTTGAACAGAACCCTGAAAGTGAACTAGTTGAATAGGTCTCAACTCGGAGGATGCTCCACAGACATTTGACATGTCTGAAGACATTTTTCATTGTCATGACCGGGGTGAAATTTATGCAGCTATTGGTATTTTGTGGGTGGAGGCCAGGGATGCTGCCAAACATCCTCAATGTATGGAGCAACCCTCCTACAACAAACTCTCTGCCCCAAAATGCAAGAATTTCACTGTTGAGAAACTCAGGACTAGATGCAGAAGTTAGGAAGCCCTGGATTTGAATTTTAGCTCCACTACTCTATAACCATCATTAAGCTAAATCGCTTGACATCGGTGAACCTCATGTCTTTCTTCATAAAAATACAGAAAATGCTTCTTAATCGTTCACCATTTTTTAAGACTTGCAGTGGAGATCACTGTGAGCTAATGGATGATAAAATACTTTAAATGCTAAAGGAAGGGTATGTGCAAATTGTGTGAGAATATAATAAGATAAATTTGAGTGTTTTCATATTACCATTGTTTAACTAGAATACCTTCTTGATGAATTCAGAACTTTCTGTATTCATCTGTGATCTCTTGAGGGGTAGGGTTTATACTTACATTTCTTTTATATCCTCAAGTGCAATGCCATGTATACAAGGAAACAGTACTTTTTTTTGATAAATATGTACATGCATTTTCTAGACTTCCCGTTAGTGATAATTTAATCTTTTATTTGTCTACCTTTACATATTGTTGTGTAATTCTTTCAGCTCCCAGAGAGTGGGTCTGGCTACCCTCTAATTTGCTTCTTGGGATGCCCATCGCATACATGGTGTTTCCTATGTGAAAACATACGAAAGGCTTTTTATAAACAGTAATTCAGTACCATAGCTAACCACTCAGGTTAGGATGTATAGGGCAAATCACTTTGTGATACAACTGACTAGAAGAACACTTGACTGAGATACTTCTGTAACCTGTGAGGGATCTAGAACACATGTGATCTAGAACAGAACCAAAGATACCCTTGGTCCGGAGACCATGGTGGGAATGGATGCTCATGATGGTTCTGGAGTCAGACTCAGGGGTGTAATCAGTTTTGGAGAAGATCTGAATTTCTTGACTTGATCTGAAAACCTATCACCTTTGCAGGCTAAGTGAAGGTGTTATTAATGGCTCTACATCTTCCCATGCCAGTTGAATTGCTTCTGCCTAAATTTTTTTAAAGTATGGAGAAATTGGTGGATAAGTAATGCTTATCTAATATTACTAATGTTTTAATGCTGAACATTAAAATTGTTCCTGGGGCTCTTTAGGTCTGGTAATTCCGTATGAGAGGTGGAGGATGAACAGAGGCGGAGGCTGATAGCTTCTGATATCTTCTTTTGAAGTTGAAATCAGATTTAGCACTTATATGAGAATCTCTGGAGAACCATAGTGGCTTCTTTTTGTGATGGGCATCTGCTTTCATTTAAGTTTGTATATGAATGCCATCCATTCAGCAGGGAGAATATTATTTAAATGTATTTAGGGTACTTGCCAGCTTCTTTCGTTTGATAACAACTTTTCAAAAATCCTCCAGATACTTTATTCTAAATCTACACAAAGCATGAAACATGCAAAAAATTTAAGCTTTTTTTCCCCTTCCTTAAACATAGGGATAGATATCTACTTGGAAAAATTAGTGACAGGATCAGAGAGAGGGACATGTAAAGTATATAAGTGATTTTTAGAAGCCTTATAAAAGTAAACACTGCCTACAGGTAAATTTGTGACTTTGGATTTTGATGAAGTTAGTTTCATACTTAACATTGGCACTACTTCGGGATTTAGTCAATCAAAACTTCTGACTTAAGGTGCTGGTCCTGGGCTTCTCTCTGTTCTACCTTCAGAATGTATCTAGGATAAAAAGATTAGTGTTTGCCAGGCATGGGAGGAAGGAGAGATGAGGAGTGATAGCCATGGCGTAAGGGGTTTCCTAAGACAGAATACATTTGGAATCCACTAGCCTAGGCCATGCCAGTTACATCTCTTACCTAGAAAACTGTTTCAACCCCCTAAGTGGTGTCGTTACTTTCATACCTCCACTTCTGTTCTCTGTATAGCAGCCAGTGTGGTCTTTTAAGAAATGAGAGTTATTTCAAATTATCTCCCTGCTTCAAACTCTTTAATGGCTTCCCATTTCACTGAGGATAAAATCCAATCTCCGTTTTAAGATATCTAAGGCCTTACATGTTTTGGCCTCTCCACTTCTCATTTCATGATACTCTTCTTGTTCCCCAAAACTGTAGTCAGATTAGCTGCCATTTTGTTCCTCAAATATCCATTCCTCTTTTTCTGGGCTTTTGCAGTGGCTGCCCCCTCTGCCGGGAATGCTCTTCTTTGGGCTCCTTCTCTCTGTGGCTGGCTTCTCCTCCTGTTGGTCCATTTCTCCTCTATGCTGACAGCTCCTCCCCAACCATGGCTGGTGCCATCTCATCTTCCAGGTCATATCATAAATACCTCCTTCCCTGGGCACCCTATTTAAAGTAGAGCTCTCCTTCTTTTCTCTTTCAGAGCACCCTAATTTGTTTCCAATTTGTATCATAGCTTGGTAATCTGTTATTTTAATTGTCAATTTTTTTTTGTCTCTTTAACTAGGATGTAAGTTTCCCAAAGGGGAAGATCTTTTCTCTCTTATTCTCCTTCAATTCCCTCACATTTGCATTTAGCTCAGTGGCTGGCTTCATTGTGTTAAGGTTTTGGCTCTGGGAAGCAGATGGCTTGGCTTCCCTGCACTATCATTGTGACCACGTTACTTGTGTTTCTTCTGTAACATGGAGAATATATCTTATAGAATTGTGAAATTAAATTTGATAATACATGTAAATCATATGGCACTATGCTAGCATGTTAGTAAGTACTCAGTGAATTTTAACTAGTAATATATACTTAATATTTCTTCAAAAAATAGTGTAATCTATAAAAATAAACTCCTGGGGGAGGGAATTTCTTTTAATGACTCCTCTCCTATCCTTCAAGTTTATTCGCTTGTTATATCACTTTTCTTGAATCTAACCTTACCTTCCACTCTTCTTGTCCCATTTCCAGATCACTAGGGTAAGTCACTTTATATTTTTATTATAACACTTGAAAGAGGAAAATAAATCACAGGAGGATAACAGGGAGCCAGGTCTTACGTTGTTATTGCATCATATAGCTTGCAAAACGCGTTATATTAATAGCAAAACCAGTTGCCCTTCCAGCTTGCTTTCTTCTACCTCAATTTTGTTTATGTGTCTACTATGTGCTTCTGGGAAAATATTTTATACACAACTCTAGTAGTTTCTGTTAGTCTAAACTAGAATTCGGCTAACTACAGAAAACTAAATCCAGCCTTCTACCTGTTCTTATAAATAAAGTTGTAATACAGCCACTCTTATTCATTTATGTATTATCTGTCCCTCTAGAATGGCTGAGTTAAGTAATAGTTCGCTGACAGCTGGTCTAGGCTAATCATTGAGATCTTTTCCTTCACAGTGATTAGAGGTGAGCATGACCCTATCTTGGCCAATTAGAAGTGAGGGGAAGTTTTCTTAATCATAAGAAAAATTGAAAGAGGTGATTATTTTGTCTGGCTACTGTCTTGCCTGAAGGTGACGCTTGAAACTACTACAGCTGTCTTGTTGCCAGTTTAAGGATGAAGCTAGCCCTGGTAAGAAAAAGAGAATCTGAGTCCTTGAGGACATCTGTGGGCCACTGAATCAGTCAGTGTTGGAAACTCTCCTATCTTGGTAATTTCTTGTTATATAAAAAAGCTCGGTTTTCTTTTTAAAACCATTTTGAGTGGGATTTTTTCTGTTACTTGTAACCTAAGGTATTCTAACAGATACATTGATACTTATCATGTTTAAAGAATGAATGAAGTATGGGTCAGGAAGTGTAGCCCTGTCTCTTCTACTTGGGTCATAGAGGGGTTGATTTCTAGGCTGAATTACTCCTATATGTGTCTACAAAACTAAGATATCTTCTTAGTACCAGCTAAAGTACTAAGTCAACTTTTTCTTACCACCACTCCTCCAATCAATTCCTAAGATACCAATCAATTTACTTTTACTGGCTTAGCAATGAAACTAACCACCCTGCCCAAGCTCAGTGACTGGAGAAATTTTTCAGAAATGGCTTTCTTGTTATAAGGTGTTAAGGAACCATAAATGAAAACTTCATAATATTTTAGACAATAGACAAGGATTGTTTAACCAACTCAGTTTTTAAAAAGTATATGTGTTAGTGGGGCTGTTTCTCAGGGATGTGCATTTTATTTACATTTTGCCACATGATTTAAGCATCTAAGATGATTGATGATGATCTTATACATTACTAACTTGACAATGTTTATCTAGAAATTCCGAAGCACTTGATAAATGACTTTTATTTACTCATTGTTATACCTCCTAAATCAAGAGACTGTTTTAAGCTTATCTTTGTCAACTCTGTGTGTTTGGAAGAAAGGAAACTCTAATGTTGTTTCTTCATTTCTCAAGTGGGCATCTCATTTCTGAGGTTATGTTTTTGCCCTTCCCTCTGTGTATAAAGTAAAGGGATATGACAGATAATTACTGAAAGTATCAATATTCATTAAACAGATCTGCTACTAGGCTTAGAGGATTACAAAGAGATATAAGACTAAATACCTGCTCCCAAAGAGATTAAAATTTGGCCAGGAATATAAGTTTTGCAATAAGAAAGGAAATCTGAGGAATGATGTCAGTGGCATAGGTTAAAAGGCTCAAAGAGATCAAAGAGAGATTTTGATTTGGAAAAGATTCAATTGAGGAGAGGTATTGAATAGGTTCATAGGAAGAGAGTAATTTAGCTGAATGGGCTGTATGTGTGTGTTGTATGTGGTGAGTAGAGGAAACTTGTCCATAATAGAGGGAACACATGAACTTGTGATTCATTTAGAAGTTAGTAATTAAACTAGTTTGTCTGGAGTGTTGGGATTGTGTACAAGTTGGATTTTGAGAAGGCTTTCAGGACTAGATTATAGAGGATTTGGAATGATCAGCAAGTGGTTTGGACATTAACAGTTTCAATTACAGTTTTATCATCCATTTTTGGTAAAAGAAAATGAAAGGCAGTAGTATAATTCTAATTTAACTCAACCTTAATGTAAAACAGTCTTTCAAAAGAGATTTATCAGCATCAGTAGGTAATTTGCTGTCCTCCAAATATTTGTAAGATTCCTCTTATTTTAATAACCTAGATGGCTAATTCTCTTCCTCCTTTTGGATTTCTTCACTCAGTAATAATGGTATTGTATTGTATTGAAATAACTCATCTCTTTGATTCCTCTATTTGTTCCTCTAGAGGGCAGGGCTATGTCTCATTCACTGTCATATTCCTAGTGCTTATTGTGTGGTATGTGATTACTGCAGGATGGTTAAGTGAACTCAGTTCTGGGTTCCAGTCACTTCATTTTGTAAGATTTTCTTTTTTCTTTTTCTTTCCTTTTCTTTTCTTTTTCTTTTTTTTTTTTTTTTGAGATGGAGTCTCGCTCTGTCATCAGGCTGGAGTACGGTGGTGCGATCTTGGCTCACTGCAACCTTCGCCTCCCGGGTTCAAGCAACTCTCCCGCCTCAGCCTCCTGAGTAGCTGGAACCGCAGGTGCGCGCCACCACGCCCAGCTAATTTTTGTATTTTTAGTAGAGACAGGGTTTCACCATGTTGACCAGGATGGTCTTGATCTCTTGACCTCGTGATCCACCCGCCTCGGCCTCCCAAAGTGTTGGGATTATAGGTGTGATCCACCACGCCCGGCAAGATTTTCTTTATACTTTCAGTGAATCTCTGTAGTTTTTATAGTTGTTGCATTTTTTAAGATGATAGAGGATCATGATCATGACATTCCTTAACTATTTTCAAATCGATGAAGGATTCCAAAATTGAACATTCTAGCTATTTTGAATCAGAACATCAGTTAAGACATTTGACAAACTTCTTTTTATAATTTTGTCCCCATAGTAGCATGAATAGAAATAAATTCACCTTTTCATTTAATGTGATCAGACTCTACTGGGAAAGACAGAGAGGACAGATTAGAGCTTAGTTAAAGTTGCTTTTTCCTATTTTTTTCATATGAATGTAGTTTAGGAAATAATGTGGGTCCAACTTATTTAGTATAAGGTAATGATAAATATCCATTTTATTTGGATTTGATCTCGACTGAAGATTCTAGAATTATATCTTGGAAAACTCAGTTTTAGGAATTTCTTTTATTAGGAGCTATTTTTTGATATCTTGGAATACTCAGTTTAAGAAATTTATTAGGAGCTATTTTTTTTTTGAGACAAGAATCTTGCTCTGTTGCCCATGCTGGAGTGCAGTGGCACGATCATAGCTCACTACAGCCTCAAACTCCCAGGCTTAAGTAATCCTCCTGCCTCAGCCCTCCCAAGTAGCTGGAACTACAGGCATGTACCACCATGCTCAGCTAATTTTTAAACTTTTTTCATAGAGATAGGGTTTTGCCCAGGTTGGGGGTTGGGTGTCTTAAACTCCTGACTTCATGCAGTCCTTCCGCCTTGACCTCCCAAAGTGCTGGGATTACAGATGTTAGCTACCAGGCCTAGCCAGGAGCCATAAAAAAATCAGCTTCCTGTTGTAGCAGCAGTTTACTTCCCTTTCCTGTATTGATGACACTATTTTGATTTATGCATTGGAAAAAGCATATGATGTAATTTGCTTTCAATATCTATTATCCCCATTTTCCTTAGTGACAGAAACCTGGGCAACATGCCTAGTTAAAGCACCCTTTCCCAGGCTTCTTTATAGCTTGTGGTCATTGACTAAATTCTGGCAAATGAAATGTAAACAGATGCTTCAGATGGGATTTTCAAGAAGGCTCTTTAAAAGAGGGAGAGCACACATTCTCTACTTTCTCTTTAGTTAATTTTGTCTTGCTGACTGTCACATGAATATAATGGCTGGAACATTAGCAGCCACCTTGGATGCTGAGGTGACCTGGAGGATGGAAGCCAAGAGAGATAAAGCAGGAAGACAGAAGGAGCCTCATGACTTCATGGAGCCTTTAAACAAGCTCTGGACTGCTTGTTTCTTGCTTGAACAAACTGGCTCTGAACTGCCTGGCTTATTCCAGTGACTGCCCTGGTATAATAGAGTTGGGGCAAATTTTCTCAACTGTCAACAATAACTTACTAATTACTTTCATAATCAGAAAAGTCATGTGTGTGTGTGTTTTGAAAGTAGAAGACTGTAAATTCTTCTGGTAGACCACATCTATGATGGTAATATCACTAGAAACAAAGAAATCTGGAGGTGAGAACCAATTTTACTGGAAAGAGAACAATGTTGTATACTAGATGAGACCTCAGCCTTGGGAGCAAGGTGTCTTGGAATGTTTGACCCAGTGGAATGTTTGACTGGCCAGCTATTCAGTAACACAGTTATTAAATAACATGGATATGCTTGTTCCTTCAACTGTAAAATAAATCATCAACATTCACCTGATACATCAATCACCTGATATGGTCACCCACAAAGCTGCTCTGTGCCAAGTCTGTGAAGGCACTTTGGTAGTTCTTGGGACTGATAGCCCTTAATCTGTATCTTACCTGTAGTGCTCATTGCTTGTTATTATATGTGATGGATATAAATATACATTTATAAATAAATCTGTCCATCCATATATACAATGATAGATTAATAAACACAGTGCTGGTGTGTTCATTTACAGCTCAGATAAATAAATTCAATTTTTTAGTGGCAAACATACCATATAGATTAAAGGAACAACCCCAGTTTCCTTTGACAGACCTGCTTTCCAAGCTTTGTGGCCATAAGATGCTTTGCAGTTGAAGCATATATCCCAAGGAGATTAAATAAATTCTTGTAGTTAGCAGTTGGAGAGCGTATTGCTTCTTTTCTGTGAACACTGAAGAAAGGAATATTTTATGATGAGAATCACAAACTGTATAAGTTTAAGCTGAAATAAGGCTCTTGGCCCACTAGCTATTTCTCTAACTTTGCTGTTTGTTCTGTGTGCTCTTGTGGTCCTCAGAAAAAATAATCTCTGAACCATTTTTTTAATCTTCCTGAGAAGAGTAACTGCTAGCTCAATACCTTGAATTCTTAAGAAACTAAGATTTACAAGGATCATTTCTTCATGTGAAGAAATGAACTCTTTTAGTTCATTTTCTGTTGCTTATAACAAAATACCTGAAACTGAGTAATTTCTTACAATCATGGAGGCTGGGAAGGCCAAGGTCAAGGGGTGGCATCTGGTGAGGACCTTCTTGCTGGTCACATGGTAAGGGGGTTAAGTGTGCCAACATGCTCACTCAGGTCTCTCCTCTTATAGAGCCACCACCAGTCTCACTCCCATGATAACCCATTAATCCATTCATAAGCGCAGAACCCGCCTGGCTCATGCCTGTAATCCCAGCACTTTGGGAGGCCGAGGCAGGCAGATCATGAGGTCGGGAGATCGAGACCATCCTGGCTAAGACGGTGAAACCCCGTCTCTACTAAAAAATACAAAAAAATTAGCTGGGCGTGGTGGCAGGTGCCTGTAGTCCCAGCTACTCAGGAGGCTGAGGCAGGAGAATGGCATGAACCCAGGAGGCGGAGGTTGCAGTGAGCCGAGATGGCACCACTGCACTCCAGCCTGGGGGACAGAGCAAGACTCTGTCTCAAAAAAAATAAAAATAAAAAAAAAATAAGAGCAGAACCCTCATGATCCAATCACCTCTTAAAGGCGCCACCTCTCAATACTGTCACAGTGGGGATTAAATTTCAGTGTGAGTTTTGGAGGGAACAAACATAGCAGCAACTCTTAGGGTACTATTTGACCAAAAGTTCCTCCTTTAATTTTGCCTAATGCTGAATAGAGAGGCTAATAACTTTGAATTTTAGGGACTTATAATTTTTTTCTACACTAATAAAAATATAAAAAATATAAAAATAAAAAAATTTGTATCTTTATTATATTTCAATATTTGTTAATTTTCTGCTCCTTAAGATTTCAATTTAAAGAACAGAGCTCAATAAAGGGATTCCACTTGAAACTTGAGGCGAAGACGCAGCCGCAGACAACAAGCATCAGAAATGGTGGCCAGAGCTGCCATGTGGAGATCAAGTGTGGGCTAAAAACGAAAATCAAATCTGGCTCGAAAGTTTCATTTCAGCCACTCTGCATAAGTGGTAGTAAGTCACATTGGCAGTGGCACGGCTGTTTTCTTTAAATATAAAGGATTAAAATACGTGCAAATGTTACCTTTAAAATGTCACTCTCTATTCTTGTATACTTGTTTACGTTTACAATTCTTCAGAACACTTGGAGAAGCAATAGCAGTCTATAGCCCACTGCACCTGTCTGCTCTGGGCTTTCTGAAATTGTGAGCCAAGGTAGACAAAAGCCAATGTGCAAGAATCTCTAATCTCTAAATATGCACGTATTTTGTATGTGCATATTTTACTCTCTTTATTATAGCTAAACAGAGATTTGGAGCCTAGCACATACAGCCTGCTTAATTTAAAAGGGAAATAAAGTCAATGTTGATTAAAATTGCATCTTTAAAAAAAGTCTATAATCTGGTGGCTCACTAATGATAAACTTATAAAAATAGATGATTGGTTAGTCTTCATGTGTTTGTTTTATTTTAATAGCATGAGAATATTTTATTATTTATGAAGGATCTTTGCAATTTTTATTTATAGTTACTTATGGTTTTATAATACTCTAAGTTAGGTTGGGTCAGTTTCTATCTGAACTGCTTGGTATGCATGAAAGAAAAGTAAATTTACTCATTAGGCTTTCACTTTGTCTTTTTTAAACTTTGAGATAAATTTATTTTTGGATGAGTGGGATATATTTTTGTTCATTGTCTCATGCAACAAAACATGTACTGTGAATCAGTTGTGTGCAGTTTAAGGCTGCATGATCGGTTCTATGAGATTTAGAAAGAGATGGCATTGTCTTTTCTCTTGGTTGCTTAGATTCTCCAGGGGAGGGGGTCAGGCACACTCAAGGTAAACATATCAAGAATACTTTATTATCGTTTTGACACATACTTTTTGAAAACTGTCTTTAAACTGTTTTGTAGGAGTAATGGCAGTTACTATGATCGTTGTACTGCCTAGGATACACTTGTTTCTCAGTATCTGTAGGGGATTGGTTCCGGAACCCCTAGTAGATACCAATATCCTCCAATGCTCAAGTCCCTTCTATAAAATGACATAGTATTTGCATGTAACCTACTCACATCCTTCCATGTACTTTAAATCACCTCTAGGCTGCTTATAATACCTAATACAATGTAAATGCTACATAAATAGTTGTTATACTGTATTATTTATTTATTTGCATTTTTTTACTGTGGAATTGTTATTTTTAATTTTTTTCCTGAATATTTTTTATACTTTAAGTTCTAGGGTACATGTGCACAACGTGCAGGCTTGTTACATAAGTATACATATACAGCTGGTCTGCTACACCCATCAACCCATCATTTACATTAGGTATTTCTCCCAGTGCTATCCCTCCCCCCACACCTGACCCCACGACAGGCCCTGGTGTGTGATATTCCCTACCCTGTGACCAAGTGTTCTCATTGTTCAGTTCGCAAGTATGAGTGAGAACATGCGGTGTTTGGTTTTCTGTCCTTGTGATAGTTTGCCCAGAATCATGGTTTCCAGCTTCCTCCATGTCGCTGCAAAGGACATGAACTCATCCTTTTTTATGGCTGCATAGTATTCCATGGTGTATATGTGCCACATTTTCTTAATCCAGTCTATCATTGATGGATATTTGGGTTGATTCCAAGTCTTTGCTATTGTGAGTAGTGTCACAATAAACATAAGTGTGCATATATCTTTATAGTAGCATGATTTATAATCCTTTGGGTATATACCCAGTAATAGGATCGCTGGGTCAAATGGTATTTCTACCTCTAGATCCTTGAGGAATCATCACACTGTCTTCCACAAAGGTTGAACTACTTTACAGTCCCACCAACAGTGTAAAAGCGTTCCTATTTCTCCACATCCTCTCCAGCATCTGTTGTTTCCTGACTTTTTAATGATTGCCATTCTAACTAGCGTGAGATGGTATCTCATTGTGGTTTTGATTTGCATTTCTCTGATGACCAGTGATGATGAGCATTTTTTTATGTATCTGTTGGCTGCATAAATGTCTCCTTTTGAGAAGTGTCTGTTCATATCCTTTGCCCACTTTTCGATAGGGTTGTTTGTTTTTTTCTTGTAAGTTTGTTTAAGTTCTTTGTAGATTCTGGATATTAGCCCTTTGTCAGATGGGTAGATTGCAAAAATTTTCTCCCAGTCTGTAGGGTGCCTGTTCACTCTGATGGTAGCTTCTTTTGCTGTGCAGAAGCTCTTTAGTTTAATTAGATCTCATTTGTCTATTTTGGCTTTTGTTGCTGTTGCTTTTGGTGTTTTCATCATGAAGTCCTTTCCCATGCCTATGTCCTGAATGGTATTGCCTAGGTTTTCTTCTAGGGTTTTTATGGTTTTAGATCATACATTTAAATCTTTAATCCATCTTGAATTAATTTTTGTATAAGGTGTAAGGAAGGGATCCAGTTTCAGCTTTCTACATATGACTACCCAGTTTTCCCAGCACCATTTATTAAATAGGAAATCCTTTCCCCATTTCTTGTTTTTGTCAGGTTTGTCAAAGGTCAGATGGTTGTAGATGTGTGGTGTTATTTCTGAGGGTTCTGTTCTATTCCATTGGTCTATGTCTCTGTTTTGGTACCAGTATCATGCTGTTTTGGTTACTGTAGCCTTGTAGTACAGTTTGAAGTCAGGTAGCATGATGCCTCCAGCTTTGTTCTTTTTGATTAGGATTGACTGCAATGTGGGCTCTTTTTTGGTTCCATATGAACTTTAAAGTAGTTTTTTTCCAATTCTGTGAAGAAAGTCATTGGTAGCTTGATAGAGATGGCATTGAATCTATAAATTACCTTGGGCAGTATGGCCATTTTCACGATATTGATTCTTCCTATCCATGAGCATGGAATGTTCTTTCATTTGTTTGTGTCCTCTTTTATTTCGTTGAGCAGTGGTTTGTAGTTCTCCTTGAAGAGGTCCTTCACATCCCTTGTAAGTTGGATTTCTAGGTATTTTATTCCCTTTGAAGCAATTGTGAATGGGAGTTCACTCATGATTTGTCTGTTTGTCTGTTAATGGTGTGTAGGAATGCCTGTGATTTTTGCACGTTGATTTTGTATCCTGAGACTTTGCTGAAGTTGCTTATCAGCTTAAGGAGATTTTGGGCTGAGACAATGGGGTTTTCTTTTTTTTTTTTTTTGAGACGGAGTCTCGCTCTGTCGCCCAGGCTGGAGTGCAGTGGCGGGATCTCGGCTCACTGCAAGCTCCGCCTCCCGGGTTCACGCCATTCTCCTGCCTCAGCCTCCCAAGTAGCTGGGACTACAGGCGCCCGCCACTACGCCCGGCTAATTTTTTGTATTTTTAGTAGAGACGGGGTTTCACCATTTTAGCCGGGATGGTCTCGATCTCCTGACCTCGTGATCCGCCCGCCTCGGCCTCCCAAAGTGCTGGGATTACAGGCGTGAGGGGTTTTCTAAATATACAATCATGCCATCTGCAAACAGGGACAATTTGACTTCCTCTTTTCCTGATTGAATACCCTTTATTTCTTTCTCTTGCCTGATTGCCCTGGCCAGAACTTCTAACACTATGTTGAATAGGAGTGGTGAGAGAAGGCATCCCTGTCTTGCACCAGTTTTCCAAGGGAATGCTTCCAGTTTTTGCCCATTCAGTATGATATTGGCTGTGAGTTTGTCATAAATAGCTCTTATTATTTTGAGATATGTTCCCTCAATACCTAGTATATTGAGAGAATACATGGACACAGGAAGGGGAACATCACACACTGGGGCCTGTTGTGGGGTGGGGGCAGGGGGGAGGGATAGCATTAGGAGATATACCTAATGTTGAATGATGAGTTAATGGGTGCAGCACACCAACATGGCACATGTATGCATATGTAACAAACCTGCATGTTATGCACATGTACCCTAAAACTTAAAGTATTAAAAAAAATACCTAGTGTATTGAGAGTTTTTAGCATGAGGGGCCCTGAATTTTGTTGAAGGCCTTTTCTGCATCTATTGAGATAATCATTTGGTTTTTGTCGATGGTTCTGTTTATGTGATGGATTACATTTATTGATTTGCGTATGTTGAACCAGCCTTGCATTCCAGGGCTGAAGCCAACTTGATTGTGGTGGATAAGCTTTTTGATGTGCTGCTGGATTCGGTTTGCCAGTATTTTATTGAGGATTTTTACATCAATGTTTATCAGGGATATTGGTCTAAAATTTTCTTTTTGTTGTGTCTCTGCCAGGCTTTGGTATCTGGATGATGCTGGCCTCATAAAATGAGTTAGGGAGGATTCCCTGTTTTTCTGTTGATTGGAATAGTTTCAGAAGGAATGGCACCAGCTCCTCTTTGTACTTCTGGTAGAATTTGGCTGTGAATCCATCTGGTCCTGAACTTTTTTTGATTGGTAGGCCATTAATTATTGCCTCAATTTCAGAGCCTGTTATTGGTCTATTCAGAGATTCAATTTTCAATTTCTTCCTGGTTTTGTCTTGGGAGGGTGTGTGTGTCCAGGGATTTATCAATTTCTTCTAGATTTTCTAGTTTTTTTGTGTACAGGTGTTTATAATATTCTTTGATTATAGTTTGTATTTCTGTGGGATTGGTGGTGATATCCCCTTTATCATTTTTTATTGCCTCTATTTGATTCTTCTCTCTTTTCTTCTTTATTAGTCTTGCTAGCAGTCTATCAATTTTGTTGATCTTTCAAAAAACCAGCTCCAGGATTTATTGATTTTTTGAAGGGTTTTTTATGTCTCTATCTCCTTCAGTTATGCTCTGATCTTAGTTATTTCTTGCCTTTTGCTAGCTTTTGAATGTGTTTGTTCTTGCTTCTCTAGTTCTTTTAATTGTTATGTTAGGGTGTTGATTTTAGGTCTTTCATGCTTTCTCTTATGGGCATTTAGTGCTATAAATTTCCCTCTACGCACTGCTTTAAATGTGTCCCAGAGATACTGGTACATTGTGTCTTTGTTCTCATTGGTTACAAAGAACATCTTTATTTCTGCCTTCATTGTGTTATTTACCCACTAGTCATTCAGGAGCAGGTTGTTCAGTTTCCACGTAGTTGTGTGGTTTTGAGTAAGTTTCTTAATCCTGAGTTCTAATTTGTTTGCACTGTGGTCTGGGAGACAGTATGTTGTGATTTCTGTTCTTTTACATTTGCCAAGGAGTGCTTTACTTCCAACTGTGTGTCAATTTTGGAATAAGTGCAATGTGGTGCTGAGAATAATGTATATTCTGTTGATTTGGGGTAGAGAATTCTGTAGATGTCTATTAGGTCAGCTTGGTGCAGAGCTGAGTTGAAGTCCTGGATATCCTTGTTAACCTTCTGTCTCATTGATCTGTCTAATACTGACAGTGGGGTGTTAAAGTCTCCCATTATTATTGTGTGGGAGTCTAAGTCTTTTTTTTAAGTTTCTAAGGACTTGCTTTATGAATCTAGGTGCTCCTGTATTAGGTGCATATATATTTAGGACAGTTAGCTCTTCTTGTTAATCCCTTTACCATTATGTAGTGGCCTTCCTCTCTTTTGATCTTTGTTGGTTTAAACTCTGTTTTATCAGAGACCAGGATTGCAACCCCTGCTTTTTGTTGTTGTGGTTTTCCATTTGCCTCTTAGATCTTCCTCCATCCCTTTATTTTGAGCCTATGTGTGTCTCTGCACATGAGATGGGTCTCCTGAATACAGCACACTGATGGGTCTTGACTCTTTATCCAATTTGCCAGTCTGTGTCTTTTAATTGGGGTATCTAGCCCATTTACATTTAAGGTTAATATTGTTGTGTGTGAATTTGATCCTGTCATTATGATGTTAGCTGGTTATTTTGCCCATTAGTTGATGCAGTTTCTTCCTAGCATCGATGGTCTTTACAATTTGGCATGTTTTTGCAGTGGCTGGTACCAGTTGTTCCTTCCCATGTTTAGTGCTTCCTTCAGGAGCTCTTGTAAGGCAGGCCTGGTAGTGACAAAATCTCTCAGCATTTGTTTGTCTTTAAAGGATTTTATTTCTCCTTCACTTATGAAGCTTAGTTTGGCTGGCTGTGAAATCCTGGGCTGCAAATTCTTTTCTTTAAGAATGTTGAATATTGGCCCCCACTCTCTTCTGGCTTGTGGAGTTTCTGCTGAGAGATCAGCTGTTAGTCTGTTGGGCTTCCCTTTGTGGGTAACCCGACCTTCTCTCTGGCTGCCCTTAACATTTTTTCCTTCATTTCAACCTTGGTGAATCTGACAATTATGTGTCTTGGGGTTGCTCTTCTCGAAGAGTATCTTTCTGGTGTTCTCTATATTTCCTGAATTTGAATGTTGGCCTGCCTTGCTAGGTTGGGGATGTTCTCCTGGATAATATCCTGAAGAGTGTTTTCCAACTTGGTTCCATTCTGCCCGTCACTTTCAGGTACACCAATCAAATGTAGATTTGGTCTTTTCACATAGTCCCATATTTGTTGGAGTCTTTGTTCATTTCTTTTTACTCTTTTTTCTCTAAACTTCTCTTCTTGCTCTATTTCATTAATTCAATCTGCAATCACTGATACCCTTTCTTCCACTTGATCGAATTGGCTAATGAAGCTTGTGCATGTGTCACGTCATTCTCGTGCCATGGTTTTCAGCTCCGTCAGGCCATTTAAGGTCTTCTCTACACTGTTTTTTCTAGTTCGCCATTCATCTAATCTTTTTTCAAGGTTTTTAGCTTCCTTGCGATGGGTTTGAAATCCTCCTTTAGCTCGGAGAAGTTTGGTATTACTGACCTTCTGAAGCCTACTTCTGTCAGCTTGTCAAAGTCAGTCTCCCTCCAGATTTATTCTGTTGCTGGCGAGGAGCTGTGATCCTTTGGAGGAGAAGAGGTGCTCTGTTTTTTAGAATTTTCAGCTTTTCTCCTCTGGTTTCTCCCCATCTTTGTGGTTTTATCTACCTTTGGTCTTTGATGTTGGTGACCTACAGATGGGGTTTTGGTGTGGATGTCCTTTTTGTTGATGTTGATGCTATTCCTTTTTGTTTGTTAGTTTTCCTTCTAACAGTCAGGTCCCTCAGCTGCAGGTCTGTTGGAGTTTGCTGTATGTCCACTCTGGACCCTGTTGGCCTGGTTATCACCAGTGGAGGCTGCAGAACAGCAAATATTGCAGAACAGCAAATATTGCTGCCTGATCCTTCCTCTGGAAGCTTCATCCCAGAGGGGCACCCACCTATATGAGGTGTCAGTCGGCCCCTACTGGGAGGTATCTCCCAGTAAGGCTACACGGAGGTCAGGGACCCACTTGAGGAGGCAGTCTGTCTTTTCTCAGAGCTCAAACACCATGCTGGGAGAACCACTGTTCTCTTCAGAGCTGTCAGACAGGGCCATTTAAGTCTGCAGAAGTTTCTGCTCCATTTTGTTCAGCTATGCCCTGCCCCCAGAAGTGGAATGTACAGAGGCAACAGGCCTTGCTGAGCTGCGTTGGGCTCCGCCCAGTTAGAGCTTCCCTGGCCACTTTGTTTACCTACTCATGCCTCAGCAATGGTGGATGCCCCTCCCCGAGCCAGGCTGCCGCCTCGCAGTTTGATCTCAGACTGCTGCACTAGCAGTGAGCAAGGCTCTGTGGGCATGGGACCTGCCGAGCCAGATGCGGGATATAATCTCTTGGCTTGCCGTTTGCTAAGACCATTGGGAAAGCGCAGTATGTGGGCAGGAGTGTCCTGATTTTCCAGATACAGTCTGTCATGGTTTCCCTTGGCTAGGAAAGGGAAATCCCCTGACCCCTTGTGCTTCCCAGTTGAGGTGATACCCCACTCTGTTTTGGCTCACCCTCAGTGGGCTGCACCCACTGTCCAACCAGTCCCAATGAGATGAACCAGGTACCTTAGTTGGAAATGCAGAAATCACCCGTCTTCTGCGTCAATCACGCTGGGAGCTGCAGACTGGAGCTGTTCCTATTTGGCTATCTTGGAACTGAAGAAAGTAAGGGAAGTAAGTATTCCCAGAAGGAGGTGCTTCCTGAGTTGAGGCTTGCACATGACTAGCGGTTCATTAGTTGCCTGAAGCAGAGAAGCACTCTCCAAGTGGAGGGAACCATGTAAGATCCTCCAAGACAGCTAGAAACATTTGTTATGGTTTGAGCACATGGTTTAATGGCAGATGGTGGGAGGAATAGCTGGGAGGTAGTTAGGACCAGATCATAAATGATCTAGAATACCACAGTAGACAGATCAGTTTAGTGGATTCATGAGGGGGCAGAAGCCAGATCACAGTTAGTTGAAGTGTAGATGACAGATGATAATGGCAGTTAGTGAGCCCAGACTAGTCTTTCAGGAAGCACAGCTGGGAAGAAATGGAAAGGAGCTAGAGAGTGGCGTGAGATGTATCACAGAGTCCCAGCAGGAAACAGATGGCTTATGCAAAAGTTCAACTGAATAGAGTTTAATGAAGAAACTTTTTATGGAGGTATGGACCAATTTAAGGGAACCGACAACAGAAGTGTGAAGAGCTAGCAGCAACTGGTTAGCACTTGTAGATCTGACTCTTCTGCAAGTGGAGGAAATGGTGTTCTGGAAGCTCAGTGGCTGTGGAAGGCAGAAAGGAGATAGAGAACTCTCTCTAATCTCCTGCTGATGCCTCCCATCAGATGAACACCCAGAATCTGTAGTGCAAAGGAGCCTGAGTGATACAGTCCAGAAAGGTCAGCCTCTCCAGGCCTGCCTTGGAGACTGGATCTGAAGAGCAAATGGTGAGCCACCAATATGCAGGATCAGTGGAGATGCTGTTTTATTTTCTTAATAATGGGGGAAACGTTAATCATTTATTTGTTGAGGGGAGAGCCAGATGAGAGATAGGCATTACCAAAGCAAGAAAGAGGCAGAATAATTAATGGAATGAAAGGAACACGTTTAAGGAGAGGAGGAGATTGGAAGAACTGGCAGAGATACTTGTTTTGGAGAGTAGGAAGGATCCTTTAGTACTTGAGACCCACAGGAAGGAGGCATGCTTGTCAGTCTGTGCATGCCCAAACAGAAGATGGGAGACAATTTGAGGAAACTAATGCCTAGAGAGCTTTTATATTCTTGTCAACGTAGAATGCAAGGTTATTTGTAGAGAGTGAAGGGACTGAGCTTGAAACAATTTTAGAATTGTCATGAGGAGAGTGGGAAGGTGAACTGACTAGGGAAGGTGTCCGTAAAGACTGCAGAAAGCGGGTGGGGATCCAGCTGAGATAGGAAGTGCTGAAGTACTAAAAGCAAGTAATAAAAGAGGGAACTGCCTCAAATGTATGTTAGTAAGTAAATTGCTAAGGTTAGTAACTGTAATACAGCAAAGACAGAATTGTTCTTGTGCTATTTTTGGCACTTGGCTTTGCCTCACACATACTGTTTGATGTCAGAAACCTGGAATCTCAGATTTCTCTCAATACCATATTTCCTTAATTCAAAGGCACTATTTATTCTAAAACGTACCAGAGTTTTATTACCTTTTTTGGTAAGTGAGAGAAATTGCCACTCTGTTAAATGTACAATAATTTTTTCCAACCGACAATAGTATAAGTGTATCCACTTAATTTTGTATAATTTCTTCTTTAATATCTCTGTCAAAGACCAAGTCTGTGCTTTTGCCTGGAATATCTAGCAAGCTTGTCCAGCCCACATTATTTTGTTGTTGTTCTGTTTTGTTTTGTTTTAGGCTTTTAGCAGCCTGAAACCATGATTTTTAGTTTCTGTCTCTAGTGATAAGTGGAAAAAAGAGATGAGAAAGGGGCTTTACTGGCCCAACCAGAAACAGAAACGAAGAACCCACAACTGTATTCTCTCCCTTGGACACCCCTGGGAGTCTCCTGAGCTACTTCTGTCCGTGGGCAGTTTGTGAGATTGGGTGACATGTTTCTTTTCTAAACCTGTGCTTGGGATCCTAGCTCGCATTGGCTTGACCTGATACTACCTCTGTCTTGCCTTCCATATTAGTATCTCCCCAATTTTCTTCTTTTATTACTCTATACCCTGTCTTGCATTCTCTCCACATTCTGGCTTTACTCATGTCAAGTCTTTTGTGAGCTCATGCTCTAGCTTAGTTGGGTTTAGGCATCTGCCAATTAATGTACTTAATCAATTAGTTTTAACAGCATCCCATAAGTTAGGGCTGGACTGGTGTCTCATTTCCTATTATTGTTTTTGTTTGTTAGGCTTTAATTTATATTTCCCTACTGTGAATAACTTGAGCTCTTTTTATAAATACCCCTAAAAGCTTCTTTGTTCTACTAGGTTACACTTACGATTTTGTCACCTGTAGTTAAACTATGTCTCTTAGGAGTTATTCAGAAGTGTTTGGCAGATAGTATCTGAGTGACAGTCCTTCAAGATGCATGAAGTGGTTGTGTTCTAGCTTTTAAACTTAACGTGGTCTTTTCTCGGGGAGTTGGCAACTTTTGTCCTCTTAATTATATTACCTCTTGTGGCAGAGGTAATCTTTTGTATACATTAACTTTTGGTCTCTTTGCTGCATCATTGTGCAATCTTTATTCAGATGCTATAAAGAAAGTTAAAGGTAAATCCAACTCTTGTGATACAGGTAACTGAAGTGATAACAAAATGAGTGCATAGTTGGCCTATTAAATTTGCATAGGCATGGGCTCTGACACTTATTCTGCAAAGCTAGTGACAAGTTTCTTTTGATGTGGTTTCAAAAGTCTTCAAATCTGCATTTCAGAATTGAGGAAATGTGTCAGTACCTGCCTCACAGTGTTGCCACAAGGATCAAACAAAAAAATATACAGTTATAGTCATTATTTCCTGGTGTCTAGTATAGTTTATGACCTGAAACACAATAATTAAGAGTTTTCTTGGCACTCAAGCCTAAATATTACCATGTATATTTATTCCTATAGCCTTACAAGATAAAGAGGTGTAAGGCATTACAATCTTATTACAGATAGACAAGGAAATTGAGGTTCAGAGACACTGAGTGCCCTTCCTAAGGCACACAGTTGGAAAAATGATGGTGCTGGGATGATAATCAAGTTCTTGCCTCAGCCTCCTTCTTAGACTATAAACAATCTGCCTGCTTGAAGTTTCTGCAGTGAATCATGGAGAAGGGCCTGAGAGCACTGAGAAAATGTTCCTTTATTTTTCCCACAAAAGAAAGATATCCATAAGTACTGGTGAAAAGAGCAAGGCAAATAGGCTTTATAATTCCCAACCAGTGTGTCTTATATTTTTTCTTAATTTATTCCTAGATGAAGAGATGTGTATTATATTTTGTGAAAAGATAAATGTTTAATTTTCTTACTGGAAGTGTATTAGTCTGTTCTCATATTGCTATGAAGAAATATCTGAGACTGGGTAATTTATAAAGGAAAAAGGTTTAATTGATTCACAGTTCCACATGGCTGCGGAGGCCTCAGGAAACTTACAGTCACGGCGGAAGGCACCTCTTCACAGGGTGGCAGGAGAGACAATGACTGCAAGCAGTGGAAACGCCAGATGCTTATAAAACCATCAGACCTCACGAGACTCACTCACTATCACAAGAGCATGGGGAAACTGCTCCCATGATTTAATTATCTCCACCTTGTCCCACCCTTGACAGGTGGAAATTATGGCGATTACAATTAAAAGTAAAATTTGAGTGGGGACACAGAGCCAAACCATATCAGGAAGTGACCATGACATATTAATATATAACTTTTAAAAATATGAACAAAGAGAATGCCATTGAAAAGCCATCCTTATCCATATTTTCTAATTTTCTCAAGTAAATGTTAATACTTATTACTTGCAAAATATAAACTTGATATGATAAAGGGTATCTTAATTTTTAAATAAATGTGCTTAGAAAAATGATTGGCATCCTAACTGTGGTTATTTTTGGTTGATGATATTATGATAGGTTTTTATGTGCTTCACTATTTTCTAAACTCTTCATACTGAATATGTATTGCTTTGTAATCAGAAAACAAAATATTAAATATTGTTTTGAAACTGATGTAGGAAAACAGACAAAGCTGAGGAATTAGAAGACGTGGTAGAAAGTAAAGCTATTTTGGAACAGATAACTTGTGAAGAATTATTTTAAAATTTACTTTGAGGTTATTGATTCCTCAGGAGACAGGGTGGTGTTATGGTATTGAGAGTACAGGGAGAGGTATGATATAGGGAGAGACATGATATTGAGAGATACGGGGAGAGATTGGGTGAAAGGGGATGTTGCTAGCCAAATTCTGCTTTCTGTGATGTACAGGGAGGAATAATGAGGCATCAGCTTTTATTCTGATTTCTGTTTATGAAGTTTTTAGATTTAACATTAGCTCTTAGGATCCAGGACGGGAACTATAATGGTCATGAGGACAGGCTTTAGAGTTAGGCACTTAGATTCTAATCCCAGAACCCCTATAAATCAGCTCTATGACATTGGGAGGTTACTTAAATCTTTGTTGGTTTCCTTATCTGTAAAAACTCTGCCTTACAAGGTGGTCGACAGCACTAAGATATTGTGAACTTAGCACAATGATTGATATGTATCACTAATGAGTGGCAGCTATCATCACCACCACACTCATCAACCTTGACTGAGATTTGAGACATACATAAATATGAGTTGGTATTATAGAATTATTGCCTATCTCAAGTATCTGTTAGCACCCATAGTTGCAGTGACAGCAACCCGACTCACACAGTTTAAGCTTGAAAACACAGAACTTATGCAGGGCAGTTCTGAGGACCCCAGGCCCTAGAGTACCTTAACCTTATGCATGATGGTTGTAATAGATGCTTTACATTTTTTAGAGAATCTAATATTTGTGACATTTTGGTGGTGTTATATGTTGATTGTCTTTTCTCTGGAGCATTAGTCGGATTTTCCTTGTTCTTTGTATATCCAAGTGATTTTTGATCGTATTCTGGATATTTTTAATATTATGTTGTGAATCTCTAGATCCTTATAAAATCCTCTGTAGACGGTTGGTTTGTTTCAGCAGCCAGTTGACCTGGTTAGGTTCAGACCACATGTTTTTTCTCCCTTTTATGTGTGGTGGTTCCTTCCAGTGTCTATTCAGTTTTCAAAACTTTGGCTGTTTTTATCTTTTGTGTGTGTGGAGGGGGCAGGTGAGGGGCAGGATCATCTGCCCCTTGCTCAATACTCAGGGTTTAGTTCAGATAGTGGTTTATATTGTAGTTCAGCTCTCCATGCCTTTGCTATACTTCTTTGAGTATATTCCATATTTGCACAGTTTGAAGGTGAGCCTGGGACTGTTACTTCATAGACTGAACCAGAGGATTATCTTCTCTATTACTCTCTGGAATATTTTCTCAGGACTGCTTTTTATATTTCCTCTGGCCAGAAAGATGGATTATTGTATAGTTTTAGCCTGCATGTTTTTGTGCAATTCTACTTGCCTGGGATGAAGTGACAAGTGAAGGAAGGAAGAAAAAGAATAATAAGGATTTTCTCCTAAGCTCTTTGCACAGCTGAAGTCCCTGTTCTAGTTATCTTATCTAGAGAGAGAGGTTTTCTCTTGGCATATTAGGTGTTTGCATGGTTGTTGTGGAATCAGTGCTGTTCTAAGCTGGTGCTGGCCGTGGGGAAGGACTGGAAGAGAAAAAGAAGAAAAAAAGCACATGGATATCCCTCTCACTTTCTGATCCCATTTCCCCTCTCCCAGTACTCCAACCACAGGGATCTCTTTTCTTATTCTTCTGGCCAGAAAAATGGGCTTCTCTTGTAGTTTTTTGCATTCTGAACCCACTGTGCAATTCCCTGATTTGGCCCACCTTCAGCTCAAGGAGAAAAAGGAAAGAAAAGAAGCCCGGTAACTCCCTACCATTGTATTAGCTGTTAGAAAGTTTTGACTTTCTTATTCAGACTACCTGCTGTTTATTTTGCAGAGTCTTGCTTTTATATTTTGGGCAGAGTGGGAAAAAGAAACTGTAGCGGACTTTCTCCATCTTGGTTAGCACCAGTGTGAATAGTTTATTGTGACTGTCCAGATAGCATGTCCATATTAGGGCCTGGCCAGGGGTTGGCCCACTCAGAACTGCAAAGTGTAATGAGAGCAGGGGGCATGCTGTTACCTAAAGAAATAGGAAAGCCATGCCAGGCAGACAGAACAGCAGGTGTCTAATGTTTATGATTAAGAAGAAAACCTTTTAATAGATGTTTTAAGGTTAATTTTAGAAAGTATAGTTATGACAGAGGTATTATTAGGGTTACATTATTATTTTTTAAAAAATCTATTGATTTAAGAGATTCTTACAGGGTCAGTTGAGTGCAAAAGAACTTAAATAACTCACTTATTTTTATTTATCTCACAATTTGCAAACAAAAACATAATTTTGGATGTCTTAATGTTCAGAGCCATTTATCACTTATACTATTTCTGTACAAAGTAAAGCTCAATTTCAAGTGGCAGCATTGGCAAGAATCAGCTTTTACATTTAAATTGAATTTTTATAATTTTTTTTCTGTCTGAGATCTGCCAGCGGCTTAGCTGAATTCAGATGTGGAGTTATCCCTTCTGAAGCCAAATTTTGAAGTCAGCGAACTGTGCTGTCTGTGCTCCATCATCTCTTTGTTCTCTTTTCTCTCGTTTGACTATTCCCACTTTTCTTTATCCACTCTGTAGCAGAATCCTTCTTGTATCTGCTCATTTCGAAAGTACTTAAGCGTTAGATTTTCCCTTCTTCAGAACTTATCTGACCTGTGTCTTACTTATGACCTGGCCTTTAAAGCCTTGCTAGGTGAATGTCACCCATCAGGGAAAGTGATTTAGACTGAGGTGCTAATGAATGTTATGGAATAATCCTTCAGTGGTACCATTTGAATTTTCCCATGTCCCACCAGATATCCTAAAGTAAGGAGAAATATGAATTTTTTTTTATGTCTTGGCAAAGCAGTTAACTGAACTGAGGGAAATAAATATATTTTAACTGTAGAAAATTTTGATAATACATAATTATATAGAATAAAGATAGTCACATCACTTAGTTAACTACTGTCAATCTTTTGGTATATATGCCTATAGTCTTTTTTCATGTATCCAACACACACACACACACACACACACACACACACACACACACTACAGGGGTTCAGATATATTGCTTTATAACCTGTGTTTAACACTTAAATGTGTCATAAATAATTTTGTTATTAAATATACCTTTGTATTATTTTAAAATGGACTATATGAAATCTTATTATGTGTGTACCCTAATTTATTAACCAGTCTCTTATTGTTTCACAGTTAAATTGTTTTAAAGTTTTCACTATTTTAAATAATGCTATGATACAAACATGGCTTCCTTGGATTACATGCCTAGAAGTGGAATTGAGGTATCACGGGGTATATATAATATATTTGGAAATTTTGATGTAGTTTCTCTTGGTGCTTATTAAATAGTAAGCAGTTGCTGAAACCTTGCAAAAGCAAAGACGCCCTTTTAGTTTCAGCCTGATTAATTTAGAAGAATTTATTAGCTTATATACAGTTAAGTTTGTAACCATATATAATTAGACAGAACAAATGGGTTTCCAAGGATTTTGCTTTTCCCTTTTTGGAAAATTATACTTTCATATACCGTTGTGATTTTAATTTGGGTTTGGAATTAAAAAAAAAAGAAAATTACTATTACCCAGTTACGTGAAGACCCTTCAAGAGGTAGAGGGAGGGATCCTCCCTCCCTTCTAAGAAATTTTAAATTTTAGTTTATAAAGTGGTAGCTATCTTTCTTGCTATTCTTATGTTTGGATGTTGTCATATAATAGAAACCAATACTACCTTTAGACCAGGCAAGAGGGGCCCCTGCCTTGGTCTCTACTATAGAGGGTCCTCCTCTAGCTGTGTTCCTCTTGTTGCTTTACAGTCTGTGGGCCAAGGAGCTGTGGCCACCTGGATGTCATGCCCCACCTTCTTTTTATCATACTCTGCTAACATGACTTTGAAATTACCTGCCTAAAAGATCCAAGATTGCTTCCAGGTCCTTTGTGAGGTTTCCCAGGTCCATCTTCCTGATGTATTAATAGACCATACCATTGTGCAGGAACACTTACCAGAGTTGGATGTGCAGGCTGGGGTTGCCTTTTGTATGTGAAGCAGACCTCTCAGGGTGCAGGATAGGTATTGAGGAGGAAGAGGCACATTGATTTATGCTCCTGGCCTTGGTCCTGCAAAGAGTAGGGGTGGACCTGAAAGAGAACCTGTTACACAGTGATTTGTTATCATACAGATTTCCACATGCTATTTCAAGATGTGGGCAGAAAGAGCCTTCCGGGCAGAGAAAAAGTCACTTACATGCTGGGGTCTGGAGGCAAGGAATTGTATAGCATGTTTGATCCTGTAGTTTCAATATTTCATATATGAATAATGTTAAGAAATGAAGCTTCAAGCAGCAGATCGAGAATGAATTGAAAAAGGCATTTTATGCAATCCAAGATTGTAGACTTTATCCTCAGGCCAATGGTAAGTCATTCTGGGGTTTTGAGCAAGGATGACATAATGAGATCTTCCATTTAGAACTGGCTGTGGAGTGTAGTAGGTGTGGGCAAGAGCAGAAGCAAAGAGGCCCATTAGGCTGATGGTGGTGTTCATCTGGACAGCAGGAGATGAGATTGAAATAGGTCAGTAGCCATGAGGATGACCCTTGCCTACTATGTGGGACCATACTGTGGACAAATTCAAGTGGGTTAATGTCATGAAAATTATTTTGGAAAGCTTACAGAGTTATGCAAATGTTAATATTTTTAATGACAATAGTAATGATCATATTATGGATAAAGATTACATTCCAGCTAATCTCAATTCTAAGGTAAGCAAGTGTGAAAATCAGCTGAAATGATGTGGGAAAGAGTACCAGTGTAGGGTATAACATCCACTGAAGGCACCTTTGGGAAGGCAGGAAGATGGCTCTGCTAGTCTTTGGGGGTGGTGGTTCAAGCGGAAAGGACAGTGGCATTGGAGGTAGCTTGACTTGGGTTTCAGTGTTGGGGATGTGTGCCCGAGGTGGATCTCATCTTTCATTACTTAGCTGTTTACATAGTTCCATTTAAAAAAAAAAAAACAAAAAACTTTTTTTTTTTCTTACTTGATGTCCCTGAATCTGTAACCTCCCTAGTTCAATTTTTTCCCAGAGGAAATAACTCTTCTCTTGTCATGATGTGGAAGGGAAACTGAAAGGTTTACATTCTGTGAGCAAAAGTTCTCTAAAAAGGAATTTGGAGGAGAGTTTATTCCAGTGAAGAGTCTGCAAACCAGGGAGGTGCAGCCTTTAATGAAAAGGAAGTTGCATTCCTGAGAACAAAGGAGGGTTAGGGTTTTATAGCAAAACTCACTGCCCGGGTTCCCAATCAGATTCATTTGTGCAAATGAAGGATTGACACTGTCTTGGTTCTGATTGGGTGGTGCAGCTGAATTCTGATGAGCGATACAACCAAGCTCTGATTGGCTGGGGCAAAAGAGCTTTGATTGGTTGGTTCCAAGCCTCAAATCAGAAGTCTCTGTCAGGTATTTGTTTCCAGTGGGCTTGTGGGGTGGTGGTTTCTGGCCATGGTTTATCTTGGCACTGACAATAAGAAATGGTTTGGCTTGATTGTAGAAAGCGAGGTCCTCTAACACTTTTACATCTTTCTGAGAACACAGAATGCATGACTGCTTCTTCACCTAGCCATGGTTGCCTGGTTCTTTTTAAACTTTGACCACCTCAGATAGCCACAGGGAGTCCATATTGTCTGTCAGCTTGGGGCATACTTTAACAATTCTCAAACAGATTTTCAACCAGTCTTTCTGTTTCTAGATAGATTTTTTTTCACCTCTGATTTCTGAGGTTTTTGGTACCTTCAATTATGAGTCTTTCTGCAGCTTAAATCCCCATCTCTGTTACCCTTAGCTTTCGGCTTTTCTTGCCTTGATAAGTCAATTAGAACTCACCTATGCTTTTCATCTTCCAGAAATAATTGTTGCCACCTGCATCTATTGCTGTTTTCACTTCTCTTTGGTATTTTTAATCCTTTACTCTGCTCTCTTTAGAAACTCCATTCTTTTGCAGGTTGGTGAGGAGCAGAGATAAACATATATTTAATTCAATAAGTTTAAATGTAATTAGATAATAGAACGATGCATGTGCTTGAAGTCTGTCTTATACAATAAGATATACTTTAAATGTGAGAAAGCTGATTTTAAAAACATTTTCCTCATTATCTTCGATGAGGGTTTTAGTTCATATTTCTAATATTATTGTAGAATGTCTAGCTGCAGGTTTCTTGAGAAAATGGAAATGTTTCTTTCATTTATTCATATGTAGGTATGTTTTAGAATGTTCATTTTTTGAAAATTTCCTGAGAAATACATGGTTACAGAATGTGGTTGGTTTCTCTTTATCAAGAACAGTGAAAATATGGAACATAGACCATAAGATGTGAAGCATAGCTTTTTCTTTCAAAGATTCAAAGGAACCTGAGGTTCAAAGAGTTAGTTGCGTCACTTAGTCTTAAATATAGTAATGGCAGAGGTGAGGTTGGGATCTAGGTTTGTTGTTACCAGTTCATTGCCTGTTTTTTTACAGCGATTGAGAGCCATAGAAAGAAAATAGTCTAAGCTGGATCTTTCTAAGAAAGAAACCTTATGTACTTTCATTAAAACTAGAATATAAGCCCCATGAGAGCAGAGAATTGGATATTTTGTTCACTGCTGTATCCCCAGAGTCTACACAGTGGCATATGGGAGGTACTCAATAAACATAAATAATTTCAAAAATGAATTGAGCACCTGTTTACAAAGATAGACATTGAACTCAGGTTTAAAATATGAACTTTTTCCAAAATAATTTCTAAAAAGAAATACAGTGGCCACAGTGAAAAGGATGTGTCATAAATAGATCAGATACATATTACTTAGCAGGTTTCCATGGTAACATCATGTTCCTTTTATAAAAGAAAAACTTGAATATAAATATTGCTGCACAGTTCTGTGCTCATGTACTTAATAATGTAGGCTAAAGGAGCTCGTATAAGTTGCATGTATTTCTGCATTAAGTATTCTCCTGCTTTTGGCCTTTCCACATAGTAGAATGAGGCATGCACACTCATTGCAACTGGAATTGAAATAATTGTGCCACTGCAATCTCTTGTTGTCTCCCTTTTTTCCTCTTGCCATTTTGCTCTCTCAAATAAGTGTGCCAAGTTCTTTGCTGAGCACTTAAATTCGGAAGCCTTTCTCCCAGAGGATTTGCGGTCTCATCAAATACAAGGTTATGGTGTTCTCAACATTTCACATTAAAAAATTCAAAGAGAAGGAATTTTACATGAACAAAATGAAATGAAGAAAATTAATTACATTTACTTCTTTTTGTCCTTTCCATCTGTGTGTGTTCTAGGTACCAGCATTTTCTCTGCTTTGAAGATAGAGGCTTTCTACTGCCTCTGCTGCTTTTGATTCTGTACTAGAATTTGTGGTCATCTGCTGTATCTTGATAATTAACTGCAGTCAACTCTTAACTGCCTACAGAAGATAGACAGGGAGCAATCAGGGAGCTGATTTTCTCATTGGCAGTTTACTAATGTGAGCTAATCTGAGTATAGAAGACCCGGAGACTACATTCACTCACTCACCTATTCATCCACCCTAGGCTGAGGCTGATGTATTTCACTGCACAGCTCTAGGCATAGTTTCATCAGGCTTGATCTTGCTGCTTACCACATCCTATCAAACTAGCTATTTTCAAAGGAACTGGTAAGTGCTAATATAGTTACAAATCCTCCCATATTTCAGGGTCTTCTCCTTAAAGCCTTTTCTCACTGTTCCAGCTCACAGAGCTTTCTTCTGACTTTGAAATCATAATAAAATAGGGTCGCATTTTGTATACTCTTCCGCACATACTCTACTGAATGCGATTCTAACATTTAAAGGTCCTTAGAAAATCTGAGAGTTAAGGAATTTTATTGGAAATTTTGACAAGAGTTTTTACTTGGGCACTGACTTGTGATGTCACTGTTCCACTTTGAGCCCTTATTCTTTATGCTTTCTTATAAATTTATGTTTTTTGTGTGTGTTGTCTACTTCAACAAAATCATAAGCTTATTGAGTACAGGGACTATGTTTTACTTAAAATTTCTCCCATAACCCTTAGGCCATCATAATTATTTAATAATTAAGTGCCAGGAAATAATGATATATATTAATGAAAATGATATATTGCTATATGCATAAATCATATTTAAGATGCAATATATGTTAATGTCAGTATATAAAAATATATATGGTCAATGTGTCAACATATATACATATTATTTTTATTTTATTTGAAAAATTATCTAGTCTATATTTTAACTGTAAGTATTGTTATGAGAATTGGGAGATGATTCCCTGGGGATTTCAGTGAGCACCATGCAGCTTTTGTAGTGTGGATGACTTTGGTGTTTGAGGGGGTACCATGACATCCAGTATTTACTTGGATGTATCCTGAATTTTTGTGTTTTTGGTGTAAGATAACACAATTTGAATTTTTGTTATTCAAGGATTCATATCTGTACTTTGATTTGTGAATGTGCATGTCAGTGTGTGCAAGTTCGTGCCTGTGTAGTGTGCCATGATTTATATGGAAGGGTAATTTTTCCTTACATGTTTTGTGATGAGGAGTAATTCCATGTTCTATTTCTTCTTGGGATGTTTCCTGGTTTCCATATATTTACAATGCAAGGTTTATAGGGAATTTTATTGTTTTATTATTTGGGGCAGTGTCTCCACACCCCAGCATTCTGTGCTTTGCAGAATGTCTAAATAACTGCCATCCTTTGAGTTGGCATGGGCCCAGGCACTTCTTCCAGTTTATAATTTGGAGAGTGTGGCTTGTGAGCTGATGTTCTGTTGTTTGGAGTGTGCTCTGACTCATATCAATGTGTTTGTTGATAAACTGTCAGAAGCCCTGAAGTGTAGGGAAAATTGTCAAGAATTTTCCCCTTTTCAGGAAAAATTGTGAAGCATGCTAAAATAGGCAGAAAAGATTATTGGATGTGCTTTTTAGTGCACCTTTCAGAATGATCAGTTTCTATAGCAGCCTGCACCTTTCATTGTCTTTGGACTGTTTTAGAATGCTGAGTTGTAGGTAACTGATAATAATACAAATGATTTTTGTCCATAGAAATGAAAATGTATTTTATCCTTTGAAATGCAATTGATTATTACCCTCTGGATATTTACCAGTTTTGCATCTCCCAATAAACTCATTTCACTTTCCTAATTGCCTGTTTTGGTATGTCCTTCGAATTCTCCTTTGAATTGGTGATAACATCTTACTGGTTGACTTGCTAAATAATGACAAAATTTTTGACATGTATTAATTTTCTATTTGTATGAGAAATAATCTACTTTTTCTTTTAAATGATCCTTTGAAAATTTCCGTTTCCAAGGGGCCAGTTTTAAGTGCTCAATGTTTACTTGCATCTGTGGTTAGAGTTTTGGGGTGTTACCTATAAACCTGAAAACATATGTGCTGTAATTCTCTTTATTCAGTACCCTGAATGCCATTCAGAATATTTGGAAAATATACATCGTACCTTTCGCAATTTTACTGTACCACACTGTTTCTTAGATCTTTCTATGGATTTAAGGATTGACTTTAGAAGCAGATTTTTTTTTGTTGTTTTTTATTATTTGTTACCAGCCCAAATGAAGTAGCCTGTTAAATAATTTAAAATAAAACCCATTTGATTTGGGCTACTATCTAAATCCCTGACCCCAAGGTCTGCCCTCTGCATGAAATAGGTTTGCATTTCAGTATTTTTAAATTGTAAAGAAATAAATTAAAGCTTCCTGCTGAACTCCTAAGAGTTTGGTAACAATAGTAGCTGTAGCTTTCTAATTAGAGTCCTTGAGTAATCTAGAGAAGGCAGATAGGATAAAGGAGTCTTAGGAAAATTAATTGGCACATGACATCCAACATTACAGCCAGAAAACACAATACCTTTTCCATGTTCTGATTGCTGTTCTCATCTCATAACTGGCAGGCTGAATAACAGAGGCAGTGATGGAGGAAAGTTTTTTGGAGCTTACCTGTTTTATTCAGAGGCCTTGCTTTATTTGAAATTCATATGACTTCACAGTATCATTATTTTGCTAGGATGATAAGAAATCACCTAAATTTTATATATAGGGGCCAGAATCTTTTCAGTGGAACATGGAAATAAGACAGACATTATTTTATTTTATTTTTGAGATGGAGTCTCGTTCCATTGCCCAGGCTGGATGGAGTACAGTGGTTCAATCTCAGCTCACTGCAACCTCTGCCTCCAGCATTCAAGTGATTCTCATGCCCCAGCCTCACAAGTAGCTGGGAAGCGCACACCACCACGCCCGGCTAATTTTTGTACTTTTAGTAGAGACAGGGTTTCGCCATGTTGACCAGGCTGGTCTCAAACTCCTGACCTCAAGTGATCTGCCCACCTTGGCATCCCAAAGTGCTGGGATTACAGGGCTGAGGCACAGCTCCTAGCCAAGACATACATTCTAATACAAATAACAAGGAACAAGAGAAACAAGAAAGCAATTATGCAAATACATGGCAGGCCAAGGCTATTCTACCATGGGAGGGTGTGGTAGGCTGAATCATACTCCTTCCTACTGCCCCTGTCGTCCAAAAAATCCAAGTCCTAATCCCCAGAACCTGTAAATATTATTTTTATATGACAAAATAGGACTTTGAAGATTTAAAGTGAGAATCTTGAGAAAGTGAGGTTACTGGGATGGGCCCTAAATGCTATCACAAGAGGAGGAGAAGGCAATGGTACCACAGAGGCAGAGACTGGAGTGATGAAGCCACAGGGCAATAAATGGTGGCAGCCGCCAGAACCTGGAAGGGTCAAGGAGTGGATTCTCTCCTCAAGCTGCCTAAGGGAGTGTGGCCTGGCGATACCTTGATCAGCCTTGTAATACAGCTTTTGAACTTCCAGCCTCCAGAACTGTGAGAGAATATATTTCTGTTGTTTTAAGTTGCTAAGTTTCTGCTAATTTATTACGGCTGTTATGGGAAACGAATACAGATTTTGGTACCTTGAAGGGAAGTGTTGTTGTAACAAACACCTAAAAGCGGGAATGTGGCTTTAGAACTGGATAATGGGCAGAGGCTGGGAGAATTTTGAGGTGCATGCTAGTAAAGTCTAGATGGCCTTGAACAGACTGTTGGTAGAAATGTGGATTTTAGAGACTGCCTGTGAAGGCTCAGAAGGAAGTGAGAAGCATGGCAGAAAATGTCTGTATCATCTTAAAGAATATGTAAATTGTCATAAGCAGAATATTTTTAAAAATATTGAAAGTGATACTAGTGAGGGCCCCGAAAGAAAAGAGGAATATCTCATAAATAAATAAATATTTATTCCAATGTTTCCTCCAGGAAATTGGAGGAAAGGTGACCCCTTTAATATAGTGGTAGAAAGCTTAGCAGAATTGTGGTCCTATGTTTGTGTGGAAAGCAAAACTTGTAAGATGAGCTTGGATATTTAGCTGAGCAGATTTCCAAGCAAAGTGCTGAAGGAATGGCCTGGGTTCTTCTTGTTGCTTATAGTAATTATGAGAGAAGCAAGATACATTGAGGGAAGAACTGTTAAATAAACGGGAACCCAGACTTGATGATTTGGGAAATCTCAGCTTATCTAGATTGCAAAAAATGTTAAAATTAGGACAGTCATTGTTAGCAAAGTGTGCTATGCAGAGAAGGTCAAAGACAATGGCCTTCTCATTCCTGATGTCCGCATGGTGATGTGGCTTGATGTTTCTATTCTCACTTGTCATTGACACAGTGAGGGAGGCAAAACAGTGTGGATGCAGCAGAATAACCACAACCAGGATTTTGAACTGAATAAGTAAGGTATTGAACTGAAAACAATTTGGGGTAGATTTGGAATTTCTCACATTCTTAAAATGCTCCAATAATATTTTGTTTGGGTTCTTCTCAGTTTAAATATCACTTATGTGTAATGTGCTCTGACCAAGGGAGGTCATTGTGAGAATTTCAAAACAATCAAAGGCTGGAGACAAGTGGGTTGGGGGTTGGTTTTAATTTGGCAGTTGTAATTAATGGTCAATTTTAATAGTCCGTAATTGATGGCAGCCTGCTGTGGTACATGTGTGGTAAGCCTGGGAGAGCTGCTTTAAAAACTTGTAGTCTTTTATTAGTATTTGATGATTAATTTTTACACCTTCTGTTAAATTTTAAACAGAGTGAGAATTAGGTCAATGGAAGTAGTTCTCTTGTTTCTTTCTTTGAAACACATGGGACAATGACAGTAGTCAAATTCCTAGTGTTATTTTGCTCTTTCTCCTACTCACATCTATCAGTTATTTAGAGCTTAAAAAGCCTGCAAGAGATAGGGAAGTGTGCTGTAGCTTTTCTGGATGGGTGAGATGAAAGGATAATGGTCACAACCTGACAGCGTTGACTGTCCTGTCCTGCATCATCTCCTCAGCACCTACTCTGTGTCTAGCACCATACCTCTTTGATCAATAAGCTGCTTGGTGTGGGTGGGATGGGGGAGGGATAAGAATCAAGGAGAGGGTACAGCTTGGAAACAGGGGCTTGGGGTGATAGAGAAAGCACAGTTGTCCCGTTAGAACTGGCTCTAACAAAGGCTTGTTTTTGTGATTGTTTGCAGAAAGATTATCACTTTGAATATACGGAATGTGATAGCAGTGGCTCCAGGTGGAGAGTTGCCATTCCAAATTCTGCAGTGGACTGCTCTGGCCTGCCTGACCCAGTGAGAGGCAAAGAATGCAGTATGTTTTGTCATTTTGACCATTTGTTTTCTTGATTAAACAATTACCTCTTCATATTAGCCCTAGATGTTAATTATAATGAATGTAGGAGACCTTACAAAAATGAGCATATGGCATTGATAACCAGCAGAATAAATGCAGCCTTTCTCATCACTAGATGTCCTTATATCTCAAGTCTGTAATGAGACAAAGGCAATATTAAAGAATGTTATTATTTTTTTTTAAAATCTATTTTCTTATTTGAAACCATGGGAGGGCAGAGTGGCAAAGTTTCTTTTTAATGGATTTTTTCTTATTTTAAAAATGTTAAATTCTGTTGAAATACACATAACTTAAAATTTACCATCGTCACCATTTCTAAGTGTCTAGTTCAGGGGCATTAAATATATTCATATTGTTTACTATCATTACCACAATCCATCCACAGAAATCTTTCATCTTGCAATGGATATTTTTTTTAGCCATAGAAATAACTTAATTTTTTTTAGTATAACCTACAGAGAGATTATAGAATTGCTGGATATCACATTCAACAGCTTGTCTTTTGGGAGGTTTGAAGTACAACATTATAAAATAACAGAGAAATATGAAATAAATGTAAATGTAAATTTATTTTCACTTAAAACTTTACTTTTTAAAATCGTTAATTTAGTTAATTTAGTGAGTTAGGGGTTCCTGCAGCAAAATAGTCGAGAGGGTAGACTAAAGTTTGAAGCTGGAAATAAAAGAGAGGGAGTGTATTTGGGTTTTCCTGCAGTCTTCCAAGTGGTATTCCTAAAAGCTTAGTTTTTCTGTTTCCAAATGAAAGATCAGGCAAGCAAATTCTTAACTGGATAACTAATCTCTTTCTATTCATAGAGAGCATTCCTCTGTCACTAGCTGGAGGAGTTTTAGCATAATTGGTGGATTTACTGATAAAAGGGAAACTGCAATAATCTTATGAGGAAAGTTAGGGAAAAATACCATTATTTCTTGGTGAATGATATTAATGAGTGAATTCAGGGAGAACCTGAGAGCCCCTCAAGTGGGCAGGTGAAAGCTTCAGTGTAGCAACAGTCTTAAGAGACAAGACTTAAGAGACAAGAGCATCTGTATAGAAGAAGTTGATGCAAGTGTGTGAAACCACTCGTGCAGAGGGCAGATGAGCTCTCAGTGACAGAGGAATGTGGTTGAAAGGGAAACAGAGCCTGAATCATACCTATGTAATTAGCCCACTGTAAATTTGCTTCAGTCACTTGCCTAGAAAAATCTATATATCATTTATCTATGTTTACTTTTCATTTGTGGGCTAATTCCTTGGTTTTCTTGTAACAACCCTATTCAAGTGGACTCCTAACCATTTTGAATGCCAACTTCATATCTAGGTGGTATGGTGGTCTTGGCTAGCGCTGGCTTTTGAGAACTGATTGTTAGTTTGAAATGGGTCATTGTAGAGTATTGTATCCATGAAAACTGGCAAACACTACAAATCAAGGGCATCCCTTCCCTTGGGAGCTGGATTTTAAATACTTATCAGCATAGCACTGATTACATTTGTTGGCTAGGGGTCAAAAATCTGTTACAGAATTGATGCCTGCATAGGAATCGGTTTTAGTTAAGTGTTGCCAGAGACATTTTTGCTCATTATATACTATAAGGTTCCACAGATAACATTTGGAATATGACACTCTAGCAAGCACTTTTCTAAAAATTCTGACTACTAATCAGGTCACTATTAGTTATTACTTGCCTTAAAAGTGATTCTTGCTTTAAAAATGATAATACTTTTCTGATAATACTTCAAAAATAATAATACTTTTGGCTGGGACATTTTTTATCTTTGTGTTTTGTCTGAAGTCTGAATTTCCAAGTATTCCCTTATAGTATACTTACATTTGCTCTGGAATTTGTCGATCTGGCCTTAGATTTGTGAACATTTTCTTGTGTTAAAGACAAATTGTTTTAAAACTCACAAGTAAGTTAATAGGCTTAAGCAACTTAGAAGCACAGTTCATAACTTTAACTGTGTCACTTAAACTACTCATTAGTGTTTGGCTGCTGAAGGCAGTGTCATAGTAACTGGATATTCCTTCAGGAGCTTAGATTTTCTATTGCTAATAATAACTACCATTTCTCAAGTACTGATTATGTGCCAAACATTGTGCTTAGAGCTTTATGTCGTTATCCCATTGTATCCTCACAACAGCCATCTCAGATAACTAGGATCAGTGTTTCCATTTTATTAAAAAAGAAACTCACACTTAAAGTGGTGAAGTAATTTACCTTATGTCATATAGCCCGGATGCGGCAGGTCTAGGATTCAAAGACAGACATGTCTGATTCTAGAGCCTGTGTCTTACCCACTGAGTTAACCTGCCACTCGAAGATAGCAGCCTGGAGAAGCTTCCAGGTCTCCATAAGGGGGACATAAAACTCAGTGGTGGACCCACCAATTGACTCATACAGAAAAAGAAAATTAAGTAGTAGAACATGGCAACTTCAAGTAAGTGACGAATATTTAGGAGAGTGATTGTGTGGAACATGATTTCACAGATCTTAAATGTCTCAAAATAAAATGAAACCCAGAATTTGGCCTTTGTGGGAACTGCTAAAAATTCTTTAAAATGTAATTGGGTATCTCTTTTCTTCTTTCTCAGAAAGAAGCAGTGGGGGAGGCCTTTCCTGAGGAAAAGGATTATAGGAATGTTTATGAAGCAGTTGGAAATTTTTTCAGATAATTGATTGGCAAGCTATATTATATATTTGTTTTTTAAAGATTACATAAGATCTGGCTGCAAGGCTCCTCTGAGTGAAGTTAATGAGAAGTCAGGTATCAGTTTTTGTTGTTCTAGAACCCTGGGGTATATGTGACTCTGAAGCTTACAGGGCTCAGGAAATAGCATGAAGAGGCTTCTGGTTGTTAATTGACACTGATCCCCATTGTCTTTTTGTCCTCTCTGCTGTGGAGAACTCATCAGTTGCTTAGTGCTTCTCTGGGCAGGCCACTGAGATGATCTCATCTCTCTCCTCCTCTCCGCTAGCTCCAGGCTCAGCCACAGGGAACATTGGCACTTCTCTTAAGGCCCTGGTGCCAAGAGTTTAGCATCTGTGGGCATCATCCATCATTCAAGGTCTTGCAAGTAGCATGCCATTCCTGAACCACAACACTCTTTGTTTTAATCTCAGACCAAAGGGATGTAACCCCTGTTCCAATCCATATCTTCTTCACTGTTGGGTCATTCTCCTCATTTATTCTTGAAGAACAATGGCTTCTAAAATCTTTCCTTGAACCTCTCAGTTTCACTGGATGTTCTTAGATCATCAGAGAGGATAGAGCAGTTTCCTGGGCTATGTTCTCTCTTTCTTTCTCATTTGGGACAAAGCCCTTTTGCTTCAAACCAAACCTTAGAAATAAAGGTCTGATCTGGGGTATAAGTAGGGAGAGAGTTCCTTTACATATTTTTCAGACAATCTGGAACTCTGAAGGGGAAATAAACATAATGTATTTCTCCCTTTTATATTCTCTTATTTGGGGAGTATAGCTCTTCAATTGCTTATTCTTTAAAATATATCTGAGTCCATAACTTCAGGTACAACCTTAATATACCATGTTGTTTTCCTATTTTTTCCATTAATTTGTTCTTCAGCTATACAACACACCACTTTCTAAATGAAGATGATTAAGATATCTTTAATTTAGGAAAGGATCAAATCAGTCATAGTCTTAGGGACTTTGTTTAATCTTGTGCTTTAGTATTTAGAATATGTGAATCAATAATTCATATGAAGTAATACATATAGATGTATATAGAAGTGTATATATGTATGTATAATGTCTGTTGTATATATGTGTGTATAGTTTTTGTATTTCTCATACAGAGTATAGCGAATTAATGTGGCTTCAAACATGACTTTTATATATTTATGCATATAAGTATTTATAGTCTAGAATTTGAATAATTGGTTATAAACTTCTAATATTTAGTTGTTTTAGATAAAGTGCTATATGCAGACAAGTAAAAAAAATCAAATACAGACTTTTTTTTTCTCAAATCTATTGGTATAACCCATATTTAATGGACGTTAAGAAATAAGCAGACTTACACTATCTGCACAAAATAGACTTTAAGTCAAAAACTGTCACAAGGGACAAGGAAGTTAATTACATAATGATAAAAGGGTCAACTCAACATGAAGAGAGAATAATTATTAATATATATGCACTCAAAATCAGGATATCTAAATATATAAAGCAGACATTGACAGTTCTAAAGGGAAAAATAGACAGTAATACAATAATAGTAGGAGAATTAAATATCCTACTTACAATAATGGACAGATCACGTGGACAGAAAAATCAGTAAAGAAACAGCAGGCTGGGTGTGGTGGCTCACACCTGTAATCCCAGCACTTTGGGAGGCCGAGGTTGGTGGATCATGAGGTCAGGAGTTCGAGACCAGCCTGGCCAACATAGTGAAACCCCGTCTCTACTAAAAATACAAAAAAATCAGCCAGGTGTGGTGGCGTGCACCTGTAGTCCCAGCTACTTGGGAGGCTGAGGCAGGAGAATCGCTTGAACCTGGGAGGCAGAGGTTGCAGTGAGCTGAGACTGTGCCATTGTACTCCAGCCTGGGCGACAGAGTGAGACTCCGTCTCAAAAACAAACAAAAACAAAACCAGCAGACTTAAACAGCTTTATAGACCAAATGGACCTAACAGGTAGGCACAGAACATTTCACCCAAAACTAGCAGAATGCATGTTCTTTTCAAACACATGAAACATTCTCCAGGATAAATCATATACTAGGTTACAAAATGATTCTTAACAAATTTAAGAAGATTAAAATCATTCCAAGTATTTTTTCTGACTACAATGGAGTGAAACCAGAAATCAACAACAAAAGGAAAATGGGAAAGTTGATAAATACATGGAAATTAAACCACACTCTTAAACAACCATTGGGTCAAAGAAGAAATCATAGGGAAATTAGAAAATATTTTGAGACAAATGAAAATGGAAACAAAAAATACTAAAACTTATTTGATGCAGCAAAAGCAGTTTATAGCAATAAGTACCTACATTAAGAAAAGACATATTTCAAGCAGCCTAACATTACAAGTCAAGGAACTAGCAAAATAATAAACTGCTAAGCTAAAAACTGGCCTAAGGAAGGAAATAATGAAGATTAGAGCAAAATACAGCAAACTGAATTTAATAGCACATTAAAAGAAGAATATGTCATGACCAAGTGGGATTTATCACTGGGATTCAAGAATGAGTTAACATATGCAGCTCAATCAATGTGATATACCACATAATTAGGATGAAAGACAAAAGCCACATGATCATCTCAATAGATGCAGAAAGAACATTTGACAAAATTCAATACTCTTTTATGATACAAACTCTTAACTTAGGCATAGAAGGAAATTACCTCAACACAGTAAAGGCCATATAGGACAAGCACATAGCTAATATTATACTCAGTTGTGAAAAACTGAAAGCTTTTTTTTCTAAGATCTGGCATAAGGCAAGGATCCCGTTCACCTTCACCACTTCTATTCAACATAATACTGAAGGTCCTAGACAAAGCAATTAGGCAAGAAAAAGAAATAAAAGGCATACGAATCAGAAAAGGAGGAGCAAAATTATTTCCGTTTGCAGATGACATGATCTGATGTCTAGAAAACCCTAGAGACTCCACACACATACACAAAAACCCGTTAGAACTAGTAAAGTCAGCAAAGCTGTAAGATACAAAATAAACTTTAAACAGTTGCATTTCTATACACTAATAATTAACTATCCAAAGAGAAATCAAGAAAACAATCCTATGTATAATAGCATCAAAAATAATGAAATACTTAAGAATAAACTTAAACAAGGTGACAGACTTGTACACTGAAAATGATAAACGCTGATTAAAGAAAGCAGACACAAATAAATGGAAAGTTATCCCATGCTCGTAGATTGGAATACTTAGTATTATTAAAATATTCTTACTACTCAAAGTCATCTACAGATTTAATGCAATCTCTATTAAAACCTCAAGAATCTCTAGAAATGGAAAAAAAATCCTAAACTCATATGGAACCACAAAAGATTCTGAATAGCCAAAGCGATTTTGAGCAAAAAGAACAAAGCTGGAAGCATCACACTTTCTGAGCCATGTATGTTAATTCTCTGAGGCTCTCTGAGGTGAATTCTGAAGGAAGAAGTTCTTTAACCTGATGCAAGTGACATTCCAGGTATAGGAAACAGGATGAAGGTGCCAAGTGGAGCAGCATCTGGTTTTCCTGGGTGCTCTGTGAGATCTGAATGGCTGGCACTCAGGGAGGATGTGGGAAGGGCCAGAGATTCTGGCAACTCAATCGGCCGGCTGCTCTCTGTCCTACCAAGGACTCTGGACTTTGACCTGGAGACAGCCATTCACAGGTGGTTAAGGGGGTTAAATAAGGTGATAAATGTGATCTGCAGTCCTGGAATAATAATTATACAATAATATAGCAACAGTAATAATGACTAAAATAATAATAAAAAATAATAGCCAATCTTTACTTGCTATATGCCAGGTATAATTGTAAATGCTTTACCTGCATTCATTCCAATTCATTTAGTCATTACAACAACCTTGTAAAGTAGAAATTTTTATTAATTTGCCTTTCCCCCTCCCTTTATAAAAAGCAGATTAGGAAACTAAAACAATAGCTCAGAGTCACAAATTCAGGTCAAAGGGGGAACTGAGATTTGAAACCAGGAAGCCTAGAATTTGGGTCTATGTTCTTAATGTCTATGGGACTGTCTCTTTGGAATACACTGCTAGTATATATTGAACAAGTGCTTATCCCCATCCTGAGGCATCTGCACACCCCTAACATTTACCTCTTGATAGAAATGTGATGCAAATTAATATCCTGGAGAGATAAATGGACTTTTTAAAAGATGGCATCTAAAGGCTCAGATATGTTGTTTTGTGGGTCATTTTTAATTGATTAATGTTCTCTTTATAGATTGTATTCTCATTTTTTAAGGATTTATAAAAATAAAATAAATTTTTTAGAGATGAGTCTTGCCATGCTGCCCAGGCTGGAGTGCAGTGGCTATTCACAGGCACAATCAGTTTACTATAGTCTCAAAACCTTGGGCTCAAGTGATCCTCCTGCCTCCACTTCCTGAGTAGCTTCGTACCTAACATCATACCTGGTAGTAGATTTTATTCTTAATTGTCTATATTTTTCAAAAAGATGAGAGAGTAACATTTAGAATTTAGGAGATGTTTGTTGCTATATCCTCATATGCAATGATAAGTTGATTAGCCAGTTGTTTTTTTTCCCCATACTTAACATATTGTTTGGTACTTGATATATAGAATATGTTTTCATTGTTTAATTGGTATTAGGAAAAAAATGACACTTTTTTCAACTATAGAATTTCTTCCTAGAGGAGAGTAAACTCTCATGGACAGAATATATAATCCTTTCATGGCTCCTAAGAAAGCTGCAGAACACTGGAATGTTTGTAGATTGAGTAACTTTTGTGCCACCAAATTAGAGATTGACTTTAGTGTTTTATTTTTGTAGGTGAAACACAAAGGTCTAATCAGATTTGTAAAAATTTGTTCTATACATAAAGGGACAAATTGACATACAAAATGCTGTCAAATATTTTGTCCTCAGAAGGCTTAGTTTGGAATGTTGCTACATTGAGTTCCAGGTGTGCGAAGACAAAGTTAAACCTCCTCTGTAACACACAAGTGATAGCTGAAAGGTTAGAATGAATCAGATTGGGAGATGAGATGAAAACAGTTGAGAAAAGCTGAAAATCAGACTTTAGGTCAATCGTATTGTTTGATGGGAGCTATGGTTGGGGGAACTTCTCTGAAAAAAGTGTTTTATGAGGAGATGAGAAAACTCAGCCCTCAAAACTGCAGAATCAAGGTCAGAGACTATCAAGAAGTAGAAGGTGACTGACACTTTCTAAGGAAGAGGAAAAGTTTAGGATGATAAGAATCGAAGTGGTAGGGCATAATTGAAAGTTGAGAAAACTGATTTCACGGATGTATTGTTCTGCCCCCTTGGGTGACCTCATCACATACTCTGAACATTTTTCTTCCCTTGACCTTCACTATTGTCTTTTTTCTGTAAGCCTTGTGTCATCCTGTGCCCAATGAACTGAGATTTCTCCCCTCCCCCATCAAACATTGAAGTCAAGAAGCTGCAATAAAATACATTTCTGTTTTGTTCTTTCAGAGATTAAACATTCCTTAGTTAGCTTTTCTTATAAAAAGATATGAACTTTAAATCTAGCCTCTGCTGATTTAACGGGGATTACTATCTGTGGTGTCACACGTATCAGTTTTCTTGCCAGGAGGTGACTTCTACTTTTAAATTATCAAGCTTCTGGCTGATAAGTCCTAAGAAATGCAGTGATAGTCATACAGTTCCACTTGATAGGGCTATGTGAAGACCCACTGGAAAGGATGTTGGATGTGAAATTAGTTTTCAGAAATATAAAGGCAGTACTTTTCACTAAATAATCTTTTCAGGGAACAGTGAGTTAGGAAATGCTAGCTAGAATGGGTTCATATTACTGTACTCTTTTGTGTGTCTCCATCTCACTTTTGTTTTGTAAAATGAAAGATGAAAACAGGTTTCTCTTTCTTCTCTGAGAATTTCACAAGTAACTTACAAAGTATATCCATGTGTCCTACAACTTCACCGCCAACTCTTAGTGAAAAATTAAAAATTGTTATTGGTGGGATTGGGCTTCAAGATTTCAGTTCTGATAATTTTATCATGCCACTTCAGAGCTGACATAGCAGCTTTGCATCTGTTACTTCAGATGGCTAAGTGACACTGCTGGAGCTAGAACTCACATCCTGTGACTTTTAAGGCAGAGTTCTTTTTTTTTCCCCTTTTATTTTTGTTTTCTTTTTTTCTTTTTCTTTTCTTTTCCTTTTTTTTTTGTTTTTTGCAGAGTTCTTTTCTAATGCTATTATTTTTCACTTGAAGACAGTGGATTTTTCTCAGTTTAGTTATACTAAAATCTTCTGGCTGCATGGTAACCGTGGGTTTATTGGGTAGAGAGTCATGGAGTCTGTTAGAAAGTCTGCCACTAGAAACAGTAGAAAAGTTGAACTTGGTTGCTTATGGTTACACAGAAGAAGAAACTTGGAATCTGAATTGGGATGGTTTGGATCAGATAATCTCAAAGGTCTCTTTTGGTGATTCTGATTATTTTAATTGTTATTATTACATATCACAGATTTATTCATTCTGTGATCAAATCATGCCTCAAATCACATTACCTGTGAATTATAGTGCAATACTAATATATCTTCTTAATGCTCATGAATATTCTCTTCTGATAGGAATATTGCAATGTCTGCCACTATTAGTATTTGGACAGTGTTACCTTCCTTTCTCCTCTTCCAGCCTTAAATTGAACATGACAGATAGTTGATGTACTCACAACCAGCTTTCATTGTTGCCTTGTATGTTTTGACATGAAAACTACCCTCAGGATAAAAAAAAAATTCCCAATTAGAGAGAACAAGAATTCCCTTCAGCCAGGGGAAAAAATCTGCTTTACTGTGATTAAGAGAATATCAGCAAGAAATGGCCTGTTTTAATGTACTGTTTGACTTTCCCTATCATACTTTTATTTTCATAAAATGAGAATTATAGATTACTTTTTCTTCTCTAAGAATTTCACAAATAACAGCTTAAAAGGATGGTGTTCAAGTGCTGTCCTTATCACTGGTACTGAAGGAGGAAGAAGATCTGAGATTTGCTGGATTCAATATGCTGTTCAGTCTCTCTTAGATGCCATTTTCTGCTTTTTTGGTGTGTGAAAAGAATGATAATAAATCTGGCAGGCACTTAAAGTTTTAATTATCTGATAATGATAATTAATTGGCTACATGAGAGATGGAAGTAGAACTTATTTGTGAGGTTCACACACTAAGCATTGTTCTCTTTCTTTGTATTATCCTTAATGGCAGTGAGTAATAGTAAGAACAGTTGCAAGAGCATCAGCGTGTCGTCGATATAAGAATGTCTATGGTTTGAACCTTATTCATCTTATTTAAATAAGACTAACCCATTGAAGAAAAATAGACATATGGGCTTGTCTTGATCCTGGAATTGATTTACTTTATATTTCCCCACAAATATATATAATTATACTTAGCTGATATTAACTGACAAGATGGATTACAATGAATTTATACTTAGTGAGATATAAATTTGATTTATTTTGAGGAAGATCAGTCTAGATTAGACTATCATGGAAGCTCTGAGAAAGCCACAATGTTGTTCCCAGATATTTATCTGTAATAAGTTTGCATAGGTTCACTATATCATTAACATCTCATTAAACAAGTAAATTGAAAATCCGTTTATTATTACTTACTATTGCTGTTCACTGTTTAGAAAACATATTTTAGTAATAAAAACTTTGATTAAAAAGAGCAAAAATGAGTAAATTATGAATAAATGTAATTGACAGCCATAGTCTTTCAAAACATGAGGTCTCTGGAGGAAGAAAAAGCAAAACTATGTGGCCTTGTGGTACAATGATTAAAAATAGATGTTCTTTATTGTTAGGCATAAATCATAGATGATAATCAGCATATAAATGATTCAATTCAGTAACAGTTATTTGGCATATTGTGCTGGGTAGTTGCATGATCATAGCAGTGCTTTGTATTTTCAACACTCTTTATTTTCAGAGTGGCTTCCAGAGTCTCACATTGGATTATTATAAGCAGTCCTAGGAGGGAGAAGGGGATGGTGGAGTGTGAATAAGCACAGAGGTTAAGTAAATTGCCTAAGATATTTGCTACTTGGGGACGGACTAATATAAATGCTTTTTCCGTATCTGATTATTCACACCTGCATATTTAAACCTTTACAGATTCACAGTAGCAGAAATAAATGTCAGAAAAGAAGAGGCATAAGGCTGATAAAAAGAACAGTGAGTGCAGCAAATGACCTCTTGGTTACAGTTTAGACTTCAAGATGTTGGGTTTTTAAATATCACTCTTTCACTGGGTGCTTAGGTAAACTATTGTGAAATACTTGAGGCCACTGTTAAGTAGTGCCTAAGACCTTAGGCAAATAAGGTCTTTCTGTTCTCATTAAAAACTTTGGAGTTTGCCTATCTTTAATTCAGTTTCTCTAAGATTTCAAGGTTGTTGAAGAAGAAAAATTAGAAATGACTAATTGATTCAAATTAAATACGGTAAATTCATGTTCAAAACAGCTAACAACAGTTAACAACAGCTATTAATAATAACTGTCTATCATACTGCTTGTTGAAGGGTTCCTATGTTGTATGCTAAAAAAACTGAATGAAAATAGTACAGTCTTTAAGATTATTAAAAAACCTGATGATCTAATTAAAGAACAAATGCCAAGGTAGCAGTGTTGACATAGAGAGTGGATGAGGCTAGGATGGAAGATAAAAGGAAAAGCAGGTAGTTTTGGTGGCCATCAAAGGAAGTCAGCAGTGCTAACTCTGTTGACATAGTCTTGTGGAGTAAACAGTGTTTACCAAGAAAGTGTGGCTCTTTTCTTCCTTTGACAGGTGTCTCTAAGCCTGACTTCCAGGATGAAAAAGATTGAGGAGTAGCAAATGATTAAACTATGAAAAGCTTTAGACTTACTAGCTCCTCTGTATTATTAAAGGCCCTATACTTATTCAACTAATTTGACTGCATAATTAATCTGAAGGATGTAATCCACTGGCAGAGTTCTTATAGAGATGTGTGTCCCATGTCCCTGAATTAAACTATCAATAATTGTGTGGGTTTTTTTTTTTTTTTTTTGACAGAGGCTTGCTCTGTTGCCCAGGCTGGGGTGCAGTGGCATGATCTAAGCTTACTGCAAACTCTGTCTTCCAGGCTCAAGCAATTCTCATGCCTCAGCCTCCCAAGTAGCTGAGATTACAGGTGTGCGCCACCTCGCCTGGCTAACTTTTTGTGTTTTTTGTAGAGATAGGGTTTCACCTTGTTGTCCAAGCTGGTCTCAAACTCCTGACCTCAAGCAGTCTGCCTGCCTCAGCCTCCCAAAGTGCTGGGATTACAGGTGTGAGCCACTGAGTCCAGCCTAAACTATTAATAATTGTATTTAATATTTATTGTGTGCTGCATGCCAGGTAATATGCTAAATGCTTTATATGATATATCTCCTTTATTCCCACAACTCATTGAGATAGCTATTGTTATTATTTTCCTTTTATAGGCAAAGTCATTAGACTTATGGAAGATAGAAACTTGCTAAAATATTTTTAATGCATGTTTTAGGAGTAGTACATTAAAAATCCACAAGAAATATGAGGTTATTGCTAAAATGGTTATTGCTGTATAATGCACATGAACATTAACAGTTCAGGATAGGAATGAAGAATGATGTGATGTATGATGATTAATTTGGTTGGAATTGTTTGCCCTTTTTGTATTGGTTGTAATAATTTTTTGAACTGAATTTTCTCTGAGGCCCCACCTTTGGAATCAGACAGACCAGAATTTGAGTTTCAGCTTTGCCATTGGTTAACTGTTAACTAGTTAACCTTTTTAATCAGGTTATTTAAATGCACTGTGGCTCAGTTTCCTCATCTGGTATATAGGCATAATCCCTTCCTCCCTCACCAGTCTACTATAAACACAGTTAATCCTCATTATTCATGGATTCAATATTTGCAAATTTGACTACTTGCTAAAATTTATTTGTAACCCCCAAATTAATACACTCAATGCTTTCATAGTTATTTGCAGACATATGCAGAGTGGTGAGATATCTGAGTCACCCAACTACATGAATGAACAAGGTGACACTTTGACTTCTTACTGCTTTTCTCATACTGTAAACAAGTGTCCTTTTGGTGGTTTATTTAGTACTATGTGTTTAGCATTTTAGTTATTTTTTTGGGTGATTTTGCTGCTTAAAATGGCCCTCCAAGTATAGTGCCAATGTGAAGGCTAGTGTTCCTAAGTACAAGAGGGCTGTGCTATGCCTTTCAGAGAAAAATACATGTGTTAGATAAGCTTTATTCAGGCATGAGTTATAGTTCTGTTGGCCATGAGTTCAACATTAACGAATTAACAACATATACTAAATCAGATGTTTTTAAAAAGAAATACACTTAAACAAGGTTAGGTATTGATTGGTTGACAAAGGTGATGTGACCAAAGGTTCCCAGGAACCTAACCCTGTATTTTCCATAAGAGTGATGGTCCAGTATTCATTAATTTAGTGTTTGGGGTAAATTCATATAACACAACTACTGCGAATAACAAGAATTTACTGTGTTTGTAAAGTATCAAGCATGGCACCTGGTATATACCAAATATCCATTATATTCACTTTCAACTTTATCTCTTAGTTTTCCTTCTGACTTCATGGAAACACTTGGGAAAGAAATGGGAATATTCTTTATGATTTTAATTAACAGGGCAGTGAACATTCCAAAATGGCATCATTGTATTTAGAAGACAAGATTCACAAACGCAATTCTTCTCTTTTTTATATTTTAGAGTTCTTTATAACAACATATCATAAAATATTACCTTTTATTAAGTTATAGATAATCAACTTAAAATACCATTTTGGACACTAAACTGTCTTCCAAGATAACTTTATTAGGAAGTCAATATTTTTGTCTTTGTGGGCAATGCAGTTTCTGTTGCAGCTATTCAACTCTGCCATTGTGGTGTGAAAGCAGCCATAGACAGTAGGTAAATGAATGATCGGGATTGGGTTTCAATAAAACTTTATTTACAAAAGCAGGTAGTGAGCTGGATTTCCCCTGCAGGTTGTAGTTTGCTCACCTCTGATTTAATGTACTGTAGGGTCTTGGTTTATGATATTATTATTTATCATATTAGGCAAATGTCTGATTCTGAGTTTGCTAGAAGATCCATAGACCATTGAAAATAAGCAGTTTTCCATAACTGTGTTTTTCTGTTAGTTGTGCTGGTAGTGATAATAGCTTTAATGAGCATTTGTTATATGCCAGGCACTAACCACCTTATACTATATTTTATTTTCTCAGTATGGTCACAGGATTCTTGGGGTGTCACTTCACCAGCTGGAAACCCCTGTGGCCAGTGGCACCTTTGCCTGAGTTTTGCTCAGGCCCACCAGGCTTGTTCTGCCTCCTTGGCCTGCCAGGCTGCATTTGGCTCACTCTACTGGCCTGGGTCCCACGCTGGCCAAGGGCTAGCCAGGTGCAGAGTGGCAAGGGGTGTGTGAGTGAGCATGGGGTTCAGGCTACCATGCACAGCCAGGCATGACAGCTGCGGTGGGGGGAGCAACTCCAGGTGACAGCATGGGCACTGGTTCCCTGTGAGGCTGCAGCTGAACCAAGCATGCCACAAGCAGCTTCTGTGCTGGCACCGGGGAATATGGTGGCACCCAGAAGCTTGGAGACAGAGCCCCAAAGAGGCTGTTACAGGAACTACAGAGCCCCAAAGAGGCTGTTACAGCCTTGACTTGGGGAGCTTCCAGGTCTGGTATCCCCAAAGGGCCACAGCTCTTCTCTCCTTCTTGTCACCTGCAACGTGGCAAGCAAGGAGCATGTTTCAGCCCTATTTGTTAAAACTCTTTTAGCTCCACCATTTGGTGGTTCCTGAGTTCTTGTCCTATATCCAGGAAGAATGAGGTATGTGGACAAGTGGAGGGTGAGCAAGGTGAAGAGGAGCTTTATTGAGCTACAGAATAGCTTAGAGGAGACCCACAGTGACTAGCTCCTCTTCATAAGCAGGGTGTCTCAGCTACTGTTCAGCTCTCAGCAGAGAGGGGACCCTGGAGTGGGTAACCGAGTCCAGGGCTTTTATGGGCCTGGGCCTCAGCCAGCCAGAGGGAGGAAGTGTGTGCTGATTGGTCAATGGGCGGCCATGGGCAGTCTGGGGGGAAAAAGCACCACAAGTTCCCATTCTGGCCCACTGACTGGCAACCCAGCCCCCAGGCTTCAGAGCCTCCCTGGCTTGAAGGTGGGGCTTTGTGGGACCCATCCCCTTCCATCCAGGAGACTCTATGCCTCCTGCCACTGTTCTGGGCACCCAGGCTGTTCGGTCAAGGAGTGCCTGCAGGCCAGTGCCAAGCTGCCTTCAGCCCCTGCTTCAGTCTCTCTCCTGTGCTTGTTGGTGGCCAAAGTCTGGAGGAGGCTGAGGTGGCAGGAAGCTGGTATGTTAGCAGAGTGCCCAGGCTCAGCCCCAACCTTGCTCTGAGATTGGAAGGGGTGCCAGGAGTGGGGAGAGGCCAGGCAGGGGGAGCAGACGTCTCCAAGCCTGTGGGGGAAGGGGTTCTTCCTGGGCCCCTGAGAGTGCCAAGATGCCCTGGTCCACAGCCATGGCTTGGGTAGCTGCAGCTGTGCTCAGGATGGTGGAGCTCCTGCCTGCTCCTGGCCCCCAAGAGCACAGGGAAGCTTGAGTCTGCCTGGGAGGACGGGGCTCTGCCTCCTCCCGCCCCAATGGCTCCATGGAACGTGCTGCCTGGTCCGCACTTCCCCCACAGTAGCCGGCTTCATGGCAGTGGTCACTCCAGGCTGGCTGCTGCTGCCATCAGTATAGCCCTTAAAGGTACCTATTGTGATTGTTATCTCATTTTTTAGAGACAGAAACTAAGGCCTAGAGAGGTGAAATAACTCACTCAGTGTCATAGAATTAGGAAGTGGTACAGCCTTGTCCTAGGACAGTTTTGACTATGTAGCCAGCATGCCACATTCTTTGCATAATCTTTTTTTATTTTCTCATGTTTTACTGATTTGGGGATGTTGATTTGAATGTAGAAGTTCATTGTACAGCATCTTTAAGGTTTTCTCAAGGAAAGCATTATATTAATTCAGCGAATAAGTAGATGTGTGTGGATTTTAGCTCTAATTCTTTAATTAGTTTTTAAAAATCAGCTGATTTTTATTTCTGGCTAAGTTTTCTAATGTATTCTAAAAGAGAAGAATCTACCTAAATGTGAGACTTTGCTGCTTTACACTCTGCTGGGAGATTTGTTTTTCTTCACTGGGTAATTTGGAGGTCTCATTTTGTTCTTGTTTCTTTAATATCCTGATTAAAGGATTAGAAAGCCCTTTTCCAAGGTTGGAGTCACTAATACCATCGTGCACATAGCCATGTACTTGGAGGATGTTGATTTGCATTTGTTGAAGGAATAATAACTTAGCTTTCTTTTTTTGTAGTGTGTCAACTATTCTTCACATTGTCGTATCTAGTATCTCTGGGTACAGTTCTCAGAGTCTGCAGAAAGCTTGACATCAGAAATAAGATATAGGTGGTAGAGATGACTAGGTTGGTGTGAATATTGAAAAAGTGGGCTCATGGTTTCAGAGTGGAGATAACCTGTTCAACTATTGCACTGCTTTCCTGTTTCCCTTTTTATATTTAGTTGTCACTCATTGGATCAGCATTTTATCTGGACTTAGTATGTGCCTGATACAGCTAGGAATCCAAAAATAATGATCCTTGTTTTCTTAAAGCTCAAAATCTCACATCAACTTATAAGTGGTCTTAATATGTGCTTATCCACTGATTAGCATAAATTAAGTGCTTTAATGGAGGTATTATAACAAGTGCACTGTAGGACCATAAAGGGAGGTACAACTGACTGCCCATTGGGCCAGGGGAAGGGATCTGTTATGAAGTGAGTGGTTTTTGAGTTGAGAACAGGAGTGTTCCATGTAGAGAAGGTAGGATTGGCCAACATCTATCTTGTAGGAAAGAAGACCACAACAGCAGGAGAGAGGATGAAATATTTTGGGAATGATAGGAATTCTGTTTTGGCTGGAAGAGGGTGGGGCAAAGGGTGAGCTTGGAAAAATAGGTTGGAACCAGATTGTGAAATGCATGTAGTGATAAGAGGAATTTGAAAGGCTTTCGTTTGAGTGTGGCACAATCAGAGTTTTATAAAAATAATTCTGGTGACAGCATGAAGGGGAGGAAATTGATGGGAGGGTAAGTAATGGGTTGTCCATTCTTCTGCCTTCCAGCTTTCTCCTGTGCTTCTGGAGAGTATCTAGAAATGAAGAACCAGGTATGCAGTAAGTGTGGTGAAGGCACCTATTCCTTGGGCAGTGGCATCAAATTTGATGAATGGGATGAATTGCCGGCAGGATTTTCTAACATCGCAACATTCATGGACACTGTGGTGGGCCCTTCTGACAGCAGGCCAGACGGCTGTAACAAGTAAGAATCCAAAGCAGCCTTTGGCTCTTAACTGAATATTTGAGAAGAAAGTAGTTGCTCTTTTCCAGAAAGAAGATGAGGATAATCTTGGTACTGTTTGTGGTGATAGATAAGCTAATTGCAAAGAATCATGTTTTTTGGACGGTCATTGCAATGAGTTTTCATGAGGTTAAAATCATTGCCCTCAGGATATAATAGACACTGTATGCAAAAATGCAATAAAGCTGTTAGAGAAGCAAATTAATTTTCTCATATTTATAACTACATTTAAGCCACTGGTGTTTCTACTAACCTTTTTCTGATTTTTAACAGATACTTTCAGGTTTTTTTATTTTCCTCTGACAGGAAGAATTCATAACCTTCATTTAGACACTTGATTATCTCCTATAAAAGAGAGTGGGTTAAGTACCTAAGGTGGAAAGCGCCTTTGCTTAATTCCTACCTCTTTTATAGGGGATTATTAGCTTTGCATATGACAAAGCTGGAGAAATGTTAAACTGTTTTGAAAAAAACAAAACAAAATGTTTGTCTTTGAGCTATATCCCTTCCTGTTCCCTTGTATTAATTATGTAACATTTCCTTTCATATGGATTTGCTTAGGAGAATTCAACTTTAGGGCTCTGGCTACCCCCTGACAAGAGTAGCCTCTCAGGAACCCCACATTTTTACCATAAGCTAAGGATGCTGGGGAATTATTTAGCTGTGTTGAAAGGCATATTCATTCCCTCCCTCCCTTCCTTTCTTCCTTCCTTTCACTCTAGCTGTCTTTTTGCCAAATGATGCCAATTTCTTTATTTTAATCTCTCGATAATAGGATTATTTCCTTGAGAGAGTGTGTGTTTTAAGTAAAAGAGTTCCTTAGAGGAAGGTACTAGTAGGATGTTGTGGGACCTCAGATCTTTGTTTTGGTGGGCAGGAGATACTGACAAGGCTTCTTTTTCTGCCTGGAATAGTTTATGCATAAAAGAAATCGAGTAAGCGGAAGTTTTTCAATGTAGTGTTTTCTAGTGTAATTTTCTCAGTGTAAATTTGAGTCTGGGCCAGTGCGGCGGTGGCTCATGCCTGTAATCCCAGCACTTTGGGAGGTCGAGGCAGGCGGATCACCTGAGGTTGGGAGTTCAAGACCAGCCTGACCAACATGGAGAAACCCCATCTCTACTAAAAATACAAAAATTAGCCTGGCGTGGTGGCAGGTGCCCGTAATCCCAGGTACTCTGGAGGCTGAGGCAGGAGGATCACTTGAACCCTGGAGGCAGAGGTTGCGGTGAGCTGAGATCGCACCATTGCACTCCAGTCTGGGCAACAAGAGCAAAACTCCGTCCACTTTTGCATACTTTTTATTTCTCTTTAATTAGTTGTGTCATATAGGAGATGTATGTTGAACTTTCTAAAAAGTCTGAGCTTTTCAAAATGGTTATATCATTGTAGACTCCCACCAGTAGTATATTTTAGTTCTAGTTATTCTACATGTTTACCAACATTTGTATTGTTAAGTCTTGTTTTGTTCTAGCCCTAGGCTTTCCAGTGTATGCACACGTGTGTGTGTGTGTGTGTGTGTGTGTGTGTGAGAAATGGTATCCCTTTGTTTTAATTTGCATTTCCCTGCTGGATAATAATGTCAAACATGTTTCATGTGTTTATTGTTCATGTGTTTATTAACTTTTGTGAAGTCAAATTGTTTTGCCCATTCTCTACTTTTTTTTGGTCATTTGATTATTAAGCTGAAGGAGTTCCTGTACATTCTGGGCATGGGTTCTTATGTGTATATATTTATATAATAAATATATAGTATGTGCACATACACATACACACGTCTCCATGTGTGTGTAACACTTCTTCCCAATTTGTGGTTTTTGCCTTTTTTGTTTTCTTAATAGTGTCCTTTGATAAGCAGAAGTTTAAAATTTGAAAGAATACAATTTATTATTTTTTTCTGCTGTGGTCATATGTTAGGATATCTTTGCTAACCCCAGGTTGCAAAGGCTAGAAATTACTGTATGCATCCTTATGGTAACATAGAGTTATTATTGTACCTTTATATAATGTTAAATTTTACAACAGCATAGTTACATCTATACCCTTATCTTCATACTATTGCCATATATTTAGAAACATGTTATAAACCCTACAATACAATGGTATTATGTTTTAAATAATTAGTTGCTTTTAAAATAACCTTACAAAGATTTAGGAACTCAAAGCCAAGTCCATCACTGACAAGTTCATTTCACATGACACACAGCTTCCTAAAAAATTAAGGTGAAAAAATATAGCTTTATATGTTAATCTACGTATTTATCATTAATGGTGCTCTTTCTCCCCTTCCATAGATTTGCCATGTGTATGGGTTTACAAATAAAACTGCAGATATCTGAAAGAATAATTCCATCTAAGGCTACTAAAATTAGTTATCATCTATTTGGTAATCAAATTTTGGGTGAAAAATAACAATTTCTTAGCAGATTAATCATATAACCTTAAAAAGATTTACGAAGTTATTTGCCATAAGAAATGGACCTCTTCTCAGTAATAAAGTTGGCCTTTGAGTCTGGAAAAGCTTCTGGTGTTTTCTGCTGTACTTTGCTGATGGAACTACTCGTGAATCTGAGTTACATAGTTTTGTGAATAGAAGAGGTTTCAGAACATTAATGTAAAGTGCTTCTTGGTTTTGTTTCCACAGCTCTTCTTGGATCCCTCGTGGAAACTACATAGAATCTAATCGTGATGACTGCACGGTGTCTTTGATCTATGCTGTGCACCTTAAGAAGTCAGGCTATGTCTTCTTTGAGTACCAGTATGTCGACAACAACATCTTCTTTGAGTTCTTTGTAAGACCTTTTGTATTCTGGAATTTACTTTTTAAGGGACATTCATGTAAATTTCCCTTAGTCAGTTGTTCCCATTCCACTTTATTCCTCCTCAGTTTTTTTTTTGTGTGTGTGTGTTAACTGAACCTTTTGATGTTAAAAGAAAACTTTAATCTCTTTTTATAATATTTTGTTTCCTGGTTAATATTGTTTCTTTACCTCCAAGATCTCACCTTGCAGCATAACATTGGGCTTGGTTAACTTTTAGTTATGCTCATTATATAACCATTTGGTTTAGACTTTTTGTGTGACAAATATTTCCTCCAAGATTCATGTTTACATTACTTTTAGTAGCTACAGATAGTATTCTGTCAAAACTGTGTTTTTTAAACCAATTTTAGTTTTCACTTAAAAGTTTTTTTTCTCTTTGCAATTTCAAGTATTTTTTTGCTAACAAAAATTATTTAAGTGTATTTATGAGCAATTTTTTTTCAGAAGTAGAAGTGGCTGCATGTTTCTGATTCTGTGAATTTAGTACAGTCTAAAAACATCAATGAATGGGATACTTGATGTCTTTGAAAAGAAATTAAATAACATTACGGAAGATAAGATAAAGTAATCATCTAACAAAATAAGCTGTTACCACTAAAGTTACTTAACCATTAGTAATAAACAGTATCTAATCTAGCAAATATTTATCATGACACAAATGCTTGAGCAAATGTTCTCAGATTGACTTCTTATACCAAACCAAGTGTGTGTTGTGCTTATAGATGGGAGACTATCTTGAAAAATGTTTCTGCAGTCCAGATTTCAGAAACAAATGTACTAAAAATTTTAAAACAAATTTGTATTGTTGGAAATGGGAATTTCTAAATCAGAAGTTTGGTAGCAAGAGAGATTTTTCATGGAAATATGAGCTTTAGATTTGAAGTCAAGAGATTCTGGCTCTAGTTCCAACTCTGTAATTGTTAACACTGTTATTGAGCAATTAAGTGAACCTTCCGGCACTAAGCATTCACTTCTATAAAGTAGATTATGTGACAATATCTTTTAAGGAGTCTCCTAGTACTAATATCTTTTGATGAGTTTAAAATGTTAAGCAACATTCAAACAGATTTATGTTTAACCTGCATTTAGTTTGCAAAATCCTTCTGAGAGTGAACAATTCCCTGTTTCATTGGATACTTTTGGCAACATTGCTAAAACTGAAATAAAGTTAAGAAGCAAAGCAGTTATCTAATTGTGAGAATAAGTGTTTAGATTTGTATTGCCCAATAAGTTCTTTGAGAGATGTCAATAAAGGTACCCTTAAGGCATAAAGTTTCATTAATTCCTGTCAGCGATGCCTTTGTTCTGGTTATAATCTGAAAAGGGATGGCAAATTCATGTTCCTTCTTCTATTGATGTTTCAGCTTTAGAGGTTGCAATTTATTGACTCAGAAGGTCAAAACTTCATGGTCATCATACTAATGGTTAATGGAAAGAAAGTGTTTGTAGATTGAAATATGCTGTTCTCTGAGAGTTGTACATATGGGCATTGCATAATTGACAGCAACAAAGTATTTAATTTTGGAACTATATGAAACTTTCATTCAGCCCTTCTATTTTTTTTTTTAAATGATGATGAAGCTGAAGCCTAGAGAGACTAAGTGATTAGACTTAGGTTTTACAGGTCTCCAGAATGCCAGTAGAATGTCAAGATAACATATGACGTCTGCTTTCAGTGATAAAAAAAGCTTTCAGTTTATCTACACGTTGACCATTAAAGGTATATTCAGGGTCCACATCTGCTTTTAAGTAGCTTAACACTTGCATTAAAATGGTCCTTATGCTTATAAAGTGAATATGACACTTAAATTCAATTAAAGTAAGTACCCTCAGTAGCTGATATTCTCTGGTATTTGGATGGCAATAGGGTCTATATTTTAGTTAGTAAGTCTTTAGGGAATAGCTCTTAAGGAGAACATTTTAATATTTGTAAATTGGTTGGGAAGAGGAGTGAAGAAACAAAATGATTTAGAGATGAAAGGAAGAACCATTTCTTTTGGTGGGAATATAGATGATGAGATCTTATTTTAACTCTACTCTGTTGCTGTTTTGCAATATTGGAAAGGTGGCCTAACTTTTTGATGTCTCTGTATTCATTGTAGACCTGGAAAAGTAGTGTCCCAACCCCTTGACATTTTGGAAGAATTGCCTGGAAAGCAAAAGGTGTTTGGTGTTAAAGATATCTGTAATCATTTGAATTGGCATGGCAAATGATTACCATTTACCCCCAAATAAAAATTTGGAACTTTGACTTTGGCCATAGCCACTTACTTTTGCATTTGGATTAAGTCCTAGGGAATGGAAAACAAAGTGGACTTTATTTATTTTTAATTTAAAATTTTACTGCTGCAAATATTATAAAGAACAGCTTTGTTTATTTTTATACTATTGGGCCTGCATGGTGAATGCAAGCTATGAAAAAGTTTGGGTAAGTTGGGTAGTTGTTTTATACTTTGTCTCCTTTCTGTGCATTGTCAGTGTTAGTCACAGTGTTAGTGTGCATTGTCAGTGTTCTCCCACATTCCTCTCTCTAATGAGCTAGGCTTTTTGTTACAATGATGAAGATAGTTTACTTAGAACCTCTCAGTCTTATGCAGTTGTCACTTAGGCTCCAGAGGTCTCGGTATGTTTACTTATTGAGAATTACTCATGGCCATTGTTTAGAAGGTATTGAACGAGGTTCTTGCAGTCTGTGCTGGGTACAGAATTTAATTAAAGCTGTTATTCAAGACACTTTACTAGGGCTCTTGTGTTTAATCCACAGATTCAAAATGATCAGTGCCAGGAGATGGACACCACCACTGACAAGTGGGTAAAACTTACAGACAATGGAGAATGGGGCTCTCATTCTGTAAGTCTCTTTGTATTTCCTTCTTCTTTGCCAATTTTTCCTTCTTCTTTTTTTCCCCAACCTTTTCTTCTTTCCCAACTTCCCCTTCCTTTCATAACGTTTTAAGAAAAGTATATTTTAAGAAAAAATATCAAAATTAACTATTAATTTAGATGATTTCTGGTTACGGAAAAAATTACCCCTAGCTTCATGGACTCAGCTTTCAATTTTCAGGGTCTTTTTCCTACCTTTTTCTTTCTTCTTAGTTTCCTTTTCCTTCCCCTTCCCATTGTAGTCTAATTTTCCTCCCTTTCAAAGGGGCATCCATGAGAAAGAAGGCTGTTCAAAACTAATATACAAAACATTTGAGTTTCTAAGTTTACAAATGTGCCTGTCATATGTGATCGAATTAGTGGCTCTTTTCATTGGAAGGATCTGTGAATTCCTTTTATCTTTCTCTGCGCTGTGCCCAACAAGTGATATTCAAGCTTGTTTTGTTGGGTACTGTGCTGTCTCCATTTGTTGGACAGCTCTGTTTATCACAAAATATCTCTTTGGAGCCTCAACCTGCCTCCTACCTATTTGCCACACATTGGTTAAAATTCTACCTTCTCTGGTTACATGAAGTAAAGTAACTGCCTGCTTCCTTACAGGACAGCTCCTTAAATGCTTGAAGGCAATTACCAGGTAACAATTCAGTGAATCTGTTATTATTTGAGGCACCATCTCTTTGGAGTGAGAGAGACATGGATTTAATATCTAACTCCGGTTTATAGTTGTGTTTCTTTAGGCAATTTGCTTAATCTCTTTGTGTCTGATGTTTTCATTTGCAAAATAGGAAAAATCTTGCATGATTAAATCAGAAGATATGTGGGAAGGGCCTAATATAGTGCCTACAATATAGATCAAGCTCTATTTCAATAAGTGACCATCAATCCTTGTCTTTGTGGTTGTAGCAGGTACCTCATCCTTGGGTGATTAATACAACATACCCTTTCAGAATATTTTTAAAAATCTGTATACCTGAGAATAATATTAATAACATTTAAGATCCGTATACCTTAACACCCAGTCAGCTGGGCTTTGAAGGTACAAGTAACCCTTAAAAATAAATATACTTTTTTTACTTAAAAAGGCTTAATACAAGGGAAAGTGCTTAATGCACTACTTTTACTTAATGTACTGCTTCACTGAAATAGTTGGGTGGATTGTAATTTTATACAGCTTGAATTTGTCCAGCCAGAGACTGTATAGAAGAATAAGGGGGGTAAATAAGAAAGCAAGGAACTCTTAAAATTAGTTCACTTACCTGTATGAACATGAAATTTATGAGAAAATTAGTTTGATTTTATAATTAGCAAAATATTCCAGTAGCAAAGGAAACCAATACTACATATAGTATTATTAATGTTCTAGAGTAAGAGAGTTAAATCAGATTATCCCTAAGAACATTCCTATTTTTTCTTGTTACTGTAGCAGTATTTTTATTAAATATATTTTTAAAAAGAAACAAACTCATTCTGTTGCCTTTTGTTTTCAGAACTCAAAGATCTTATAAATAGTGGCAACTTATAAATATACAAGTGGGCTGAGGGACTTTCACCCTCTAAAATGGATTCCTTTTAAATATAAACTAAGACTTCATGCAGATGGTTTGAGAATCATTTTTTGTGTTTGTTTAGACTTGAAGATTTCTTCTTCTTTTCTGTTTAATGTATTTTGTGGATTAGCAAACTCCATTTTTTTTCTTTTAAGAAAGTGTAAACTTCAGCGGAGGTTAGGTCAGAATTAACAGTGGACTTAAATCTGTGGGTTTTAAATTAATGGTGTTTTATTATATGGATTGAAAAAGTATGTAAGGGAGTAGCTTTTGGAAATGGCATGGCTTATCTGCCCTAAGTGCCTTTATGTTTCTCTTTATAGGTAATGCTGAAATCAGGCACAAACATACTCTACTGGAGAACTACAGGCATCCTTATGGGTTCTAAGGCGGTCAAGCCTGTGCTGGTAAAAAATATCACAATTGAAGGTATTTCATGGCATTCTGTTTTAGTAGTCACCAGTCACATCTTACAGTTAGTTAAAATATTTATTAAAGTTTTGGTTTGGCTGGCTCAAAGATTTATAGAACAGAAATTAATATGTTAGGGAATCATATAGGTCTGGAGACCCTGGTTTTACTCCCAAGAAATCGACAGTTGTTTTCTTTTTTTCTTGTACCCTTGAACTAAATTATTTAATCATTGCAAAAAAAGTAAACATGATGACAATTTTAGATGTCTGTAAACAAAAACAAAATGTCTCTGTGTTAATAAGACCCCATTATTCCTCCAAGAAATGTCTGTTGTGCCAGACATTGGGCTTACCAGGGAACTGATGACCTAGTCACTGCTATATCCATAAAAATAACAATAAACATCTTGACCTGACTCTTTCCTAAACCTTTTATGCTTCTCTGAGCCAACCGGGTAATTTCTGGCCCAGGAGAGCAGTCGGTGAACCCTGGCATGGTTCATTCTCAATTAGGAGTATTTTTCATTAAAGCAGTGATTCTCCTTTATTAAACTTTGGCTTACGTTTTAATATGTTCATTGTGGGCTTGTTCCTGTGAACAATGTGTTAACTCATTAGTCACTAGGACATCTGCTGGCAAAGACTGGAATTACAAACCAGAGGAGAAGTCAAGCCATTCCTAGGTCTTACCTGTGACTTAATAAGCAGTGGAAAAAAAAGGGAACAGGTTACCATAAGGATCAGATAATTATAGCCCTATAGAATTGGAGGGAACCTTAGGGTTTATCTCATTTTTGAGTTAGTGGAGTTGTCTTTTGACTGCTCAGTTAATACAAGTATTATACCTCTATGAAATCTTCATCTCTTATTTGTTTGCTGACTTGATTGTGCAGTTCCTTGTACACAATAAATGCTTTCTTAGTGCTGGATGAATAAGATAAAAGATTTGGGCTGACCTTACTGTTCATATATCTCCCTCACTTCTGGGTAGAAGCAGAAGTAGGTGCTGATTTGCTTATTGGTATTGGGTCCCCCTCCCATGCTCTGTTTTTCATTACTGCACAGGGGTGGCGTACACATCAGAATGTTTTCCTTGCAAGCCAGGCACATTCAGCAACAAACCAGGTTCATTCAACTGCCAGGTGTGTCCCAGAAACACCTATTCTGAGAAAGGAGCCAAAGAATGTATAAGGTGTAAAGACGACTCTCAATTTTCAGGTAGAACTAGTTTATACTCTGCTTTTTTCTTTCTAAATGTATGTTGGTCAAGTGTACATTTATAAACCAGAAGTCACCCATAAAGTATGACAGCAGTGGTGCCTGAAACCAAAGTGCTGGAGTGAATTGATGTTGAATGGATAAAATATGACATCTTATCCGTTTCTGCATGACTTTCCCCAGTATAGGTCTGTGATTTGTTTTTCTATTCCACACCCCACAGGTAGCTGCTATGGATATGTTTATACTAATCTAAAAATGTTTATACTTTTACATGATTTGTTGGTGTAGAGACGTATATAGAAACTTTTAATTTGTTCCAAATTTCCAATGTATAGTGATGATGGAAGAAATCTAATATCTTCTGGGAAAAACTGTGATATACTACTCCATGTGTATCATAGAAACACTTATTGCTCTAGGGAAAATAAAAATGTAGGCATTTATTTTCTTTAGACCTAGGTAGTTCTACCTAAATTGCCCTGGTAAGTTTATTTGTACTTTTTAGTTGCTTTTTCTGTTTTGCTTTTTTGCCTTTTCTTAGAGTTGCAAAATAATTGACCCATTTCTGAAACGCTTTTTTTATGTTGCAGAGGAAGGATCCAGTGAGTGTACAGAGCGCCCTCCCTGTACCACAAAAGACTATTTCCAGATCCATACTCCATGTGATGAAGAAGGAAAGGTACCAGCAGTGTTGCATCAACTCCATCCCATATTTTTGCAACCTTCTTTCCAATTTGAGCAGACTCTAATTTGTTCGTGAGAGATATTTATGACACACGTATGTAAGTGTAAAGAGGAAATTTTAGAGTTTAGGGTTTGAAGTCTGCCTTCCTGGCTTTGAATTTCACATATACCATTAAGTCCTGTGGGCAACTTATTTGATGTCTCTAGGCCTCAATTTTTTTATTTGTATAATATGGATGATATTGGCACCTACTTTATAAAGCTGCTATAAGAACATTCAAGATATTTAATGTAAAGTTCCTAGCCCAGTGCCTGTCACATAGTGCTCAATAAATTACTGCTACTTTTAACAGTTACATTTTTTCCAGAAGTAATAACATGAGAGAGAGCACAGCCTTAAAATGTGTAGTGTGACTCACAGGATGGAAAGTTCTTATAACTTCTCTTTAATTATTTGGTTACTCAGTATGTTTTGTCAGTAAAAACCATGCAGCCATGGGCTATTCGGTTATGGCAGATTACTGTGTAATTGCATTGAGAAAATGCAAGTAAGTACCATATAAATGGCACATAGCCAGAGGAAAAATGCACACATGAGCTCTGCAGTTGACCTGCTCTCCTCTTAATTAAAGAATTAGCCTACAGCAGCCTGTGTCAGTGAGAGGAAACTGAGATCAAAGTGGCTGCTATGGAGCGTTGCTTCTTTATGTTTGCATCTTTGAAATAATGACATTTATTTTCTTGACTTAGTTTGGAAAGCATATATAGATGTCAGGGAATTTATTACTTTCTTCTCTTGTTTTTGCATCCCTAGATTCTAATCTAGATTGTTATATTAATATTATCTTAGGTCCTTAAGTTTTTTTAAGGAATATTACTTTGAATTGTTAAGAGCAAGTACATTCTAGTTTAAATTAGTGGCAAATTGCAATGATAAGAAGTACAACTATTACTTTCAGTAAGAACAGTAACTCAAACTAACAGCTGTTAACTGACAAGGAGTTGTAAAGTAAGGTCCTGATAGTCCTATCATAATGCCAAATAAGGGCTATTTTTTAGAAAATATATGCAGAGAGGTACCATTAAGGTGAATTGAAAAGTAATTTGGATTATGTTTGTTTAGATAAACTTTTCTTGGCTAAACCTGCCTTATTAATAAGTAAGGCAAAAGTCAATTTAGTTTATTTTATGTAATAATCAGTTCATCGTTACTGAGGGTTAAAGGAATGGGATCTAATGTAAAATAGGATCTCGTCTTATCTACAATGAAAATATGCAAAAGCTGTATTTTTATTAGTTAATTACATCCATGAGTATAATGGCAGTAAGTAGTGTGACAAAATCTGTTTGACCTGGGCCTAATGGATGCAAGACCGTATATTAAATGTATATGCAGAATACGCACATATGCATAGACACATATATGTATATGGGTGTATGCACAGGCATGCGGTGTACACACATACACACAAATTATGTTTTTCTGTTGTGTCTGAGTGAAATTTGAACATGTTCTTGGTATAGAAGAAAACAATGTGCTAGTACTTTATAAACTCAGTGTTTTTTTAAGAAAAGTGATTTAAGACATTTCAAGATAAATGTTTCTAGCTTCAGAAGTAAAGCAATGGGGACTTAGTGAAATAATATATGTAATGAACTTTAGATTGCATATGTGAATTTGAAATTTTTTGTGGTAACATTTTCATTTGTTTGGTTTCATCTTTTAAAATGGCATTTTAGTGGGGTAAAGTGGCATGCACCTGTAGTCTCAGCTACTTAGGAGGCTGAGGCATGAGGATTGCTTGAGGGCAGGAATTTGAGGCTGCAGTGTGCCATGATGGCACCTGTGAATAGCCACTGTACTCCAGCCTGGGCAGTGTAACAAGACCTGTCTCTTTATATAAATACATAAATAGATATTTTATTCTTGCTGAGAATAGCCTGGTGATTTGCCAGTGGTTTAATGATGTTTCTCGGGTTGTTCAATGACTATGTTTTGGTTCTCTCTGTCCTGTTATGTTCTCTTTGATCTTATTTTGCCCTACTTGGAGAGGATCGAGTTGATTGACAAGGAAATCAGCTATTGAGGCATATAGATTCCAAACATTACCATCGACATGACATAGGAGTGTTACAAGTTTTCTGTATTTATTTTGAATCTTAGTTTAAAATAGATTGCTTAGATTTCTTTCTGCCTGTGGGGGAAGTTTTTCAGGAAAATTTTAATTGGTAATTGAAATTATTCTAATCCTAATTAAGAGATTCTTATAAACATCATGAAAAATGTGGAATGGCTTGCTCATTCATACTTTTAGTAAATCTTTACTGAGCACTGGTTATTTACAGAATACTGGGTAAGGAGGGCAGAGCTAAGGATAGAAGAAAAACGTAAATTTCTCCATAGATGTAGAGCAGTGGCTGTCAAACATTAGTGTTCATCAGTCTCACCTGGAAGGCCCTGTCCCAGATTTTCTAATCTAGTAGGTCTGGAGGAAGGCCTGAAAATTTACATTTCCAGGAAGGTCCCGGGTAATTCTGATTCTGCTGGTCCAGGATCTCAGCACTTAGAGAACCACTGGTCTAGACTCTAGAGGAAGAGATAAACAGTCAATCAAATAAAATGAATTATTATTTCCAATTGGGATTAGTGCTACAGCAGAGAAGTTTGAATTTTATGAGGTTCTTACCCAGTCTGGGAAGGCCTCAGTCTGTTTTTAAAACTGGGCAAGGCCAAGGAAGGAGAGCATTTTTGATAGAGGGAGCGGGATGGTGAAGACCTGACATGGGAAGGAGCATAGTGTATTTGAAGAACTAAAAGGATGTGTGACTAGAATGTGGGGATGTGGGCAAGGGATTGCATTAGGTGCAGTTAATGACATAAGCTATTGCTAGAAAAGGCATGGTTTCATAGGGCCATATTAGGAATTTTGGCCTTTGTCCTAAGAGCATTTAGAAATCACTGCAAGTTTTTTGGTATCAGAGTGATGCAATGTGATTGGATTTATACTTCATATAGATCCCTTTGGCAGTGTTTTATATACAAGATTAGAAGGGGACTAGAGAGGATATGAATGAACACTTAGAAGTCTCATAATGCCCTTCTCCCGGTGAGAGAAGAAGGAAGTGAATGATGGTAAAGGGAATAGACAGAAGAATATGGATTAGAGAAATAGGAAGTAAAATTCACAAAATGTGATGGTTGATAAGATGGAGGGGGAGGAAAGTGTTAAAGGTGGGTTGGTAGAGGTACTATTTGGTTAGAGAGAAGGTCTGGAGGCGAGGAAGGAAAGACCATGAGTACAGTTTTGACCAAGTTGTGAGATGGGGCAAGAGGAGATATTGGAAGGGCCATTATGTACATCAGTCTGGAGCTCAGTAGAGCATCTGGGCTAGCTATGTGAATCTGAGAATTATAGCAAATAGCTGGCAATTAAAGCCTTGGGGTTGGGTAAAAGTTTGCAGGGAGATCATAGAGTGGGCTTAGAAGTAAGCTAATGCTAGGAGAGATGAACAGGGATGGTGCCTGAGGAAAATGGCTGGAGAAGTGGGAGAAACCAAGGGAGTTACTGCCATAGAGTATTTGCAGAAATTAGAGTGGTTAAGAAGGCTGATACTCCTGAACAGTCACCCTAGATGAGGGCTGAAAAGTATCCATTGGATTTGGCAACATTGAATTAAATGGTGGCTTTAAAGAGCCATTTTAAAACATGGAAACCAGGTTGAATTGGGTGAAGAGATACAAGGATTTAAATCTTCTAATGTATACAGTAAGGCATTCTCTCACCAGATATTTGTGGGGCTTACTACATATCAAGTTGTGTAAGGCACTATACAGATGCAGAGAAGTAAACAAACATGGAGAATTACTAGGTATTCTTGGCCCATGCTTAGGTTATGAAAGTCTCAAGGAGACAACACATTTTTATATGACATTGTTCCCGGTGGTAAATAAATGAGGTTTCCTAAATGTGGCTTACTTGAATTAAAGCTTAGTATATGCAAAACAGAGATGTATAACATAGATAAATTAAAGAATATTCACTTCTCAATAAACATTCACTACAAAATTATCTTAAGTACTGAGTTGAAATTTTTATGTATGTTTTGTTTAAAACAATTAGTGCCCACTTCTTACATAAAATGAGGTACACTTATATAGGTGCACACAAGCACATATACAAATTCAGTGTTTGATGTTTGAACTCAAAAGAATACTGATCAGGGATTTTACCAACAAACCTAGTCCCCTAGAAGATGGAATCTTTCCCTGTTGAGTGTCATGAAACAAATACATGAAGCTGAAAGTGAATGTCAAGCAATGCAAGCTTTATTCGAGGGTCATGGAATTGAGAAGTGGGAGCATGGCTCAAAAATCAATTTCTCTATTAGTGAGGGGTGAGGGAGTTAAAATATAGGATTTCTCTAATGAAGGGGTTGGACATGAAAAGCAAGGGGAGGAATATTTATGTGTTTTCCAGAAATCGGCGGTAAACATCCTGGAACTAGAGTGCTGCCTTCCTTTTTGTCCTTTTATGGCTTCTTTGGGCCATTGTCATGGCCATTGTCATGGCACTGGTGGGAGTGCCACTTAGTATGGAAATAAAATTGTGAGATTATAACGAAACCTGAGATCCTTAAAGTCATTTGGTCATCTATCTTGGTTCTAACCAGTCTCAGCTGGTCTGGTTACAAAGGGAACTTTTTATCACAGGCATCCTGTTTCTTAAAGATAAGCAGAATTAGGGCAGGGTGGAAATTCAGCTATATTATGTAGGTAACAGTGACACTGGGCAAGAGTTAAGAGAAGATGTGTTTTAATGTTAGCAGGATATTTGACAGAGCATCTCATGATTTCCTTATGGATAAGATAAAGAATTGTAGACTAAATGATATGGTTAAGTGGATATATGACTAATTGAAGAATCATACATAAAATGTTTGATTTGATAAATCAATATCAACTTGGAGTATAGTATTGTATATATATATATTTGATATATTTATATACATATTTGCCATAGGAATATAAATATAGCAAGTCATTTATACATACTGTAACTCACACAAAGAAGAATATAAGTCAGATGAGTTATTTTCAACATTTTATTTAAAAATGATTAACTTCATAAAGACATTAAGAATATGTATATCAATTTGTGAATCAATAAAGATAAAAATGATATAATTAAGATTCAGAAAGACTCCAGTGTGTTTGAACAATGAGCTCAAATTAGTAAAATCAAAATTTATTTGTGTGAAAGAAACTCTCAGATATAAAAGCACTGAGAAAAGAGAAAATAATTACTTGCAAAGAAGATTTCCAGGGAAATCCAAGCTTTAAAAGACCTAACTCACCAAATAAAAAATGCGACAGCTATTTAAAGTGGGGAAAATCCTTCCCCCACAAGAATACAAAGAATAGTTTTCAATTAAGCTGTTCATGGTTAAAAACAGTAAGTTTCTCATTTGTTTATCATATCCACAAAAGTTGTCTCATATCCACTACAAAAGGGAGTGGAGAAAAGGTTGTTTTTGTTTGGGAGCTAGTAAACAGAAAAGACTTAAGATTTTATTTATTTTGGGTATTACACTGAGGCAGAGTAACCTGTGCAGTGTTTGTCTCCCCCCGCCACCCTCCTATTGTGGGACATGATTCACATGTTTCCTTTCAATGGGTGCTTGGGGATGATTATACATTCTCTAGTAATGAATTTTAAAAATATGTTTCAGAAATTGGATGGGAGCCCTGACTCAAACCAATGTAAAACTGAGGAATGGAGAGGGGAGGAGGCAGGAGCCTGTTGACTCATTTAACTGGGAAGTCAATATAGAACAAATTATTTTAAGATGTTCTCTTGCTGTGTAATGCTAATATTCTTGGCTCAATTTGATTTCCTTCTCAGGCAAGCCCTTTCCGGTGTTGCAAGATGCTCACTGTAATCTCCACCCAAGCCACTAGTATCCTCACAGCTCTTGATACTACAAACACTGACTGAAGCTTCGGAAAAGACTCTGATTGGCCTTGCTTGAATCATGAGCCCATAGCCAACCAATAATTCTCTCCAGGAGTGTTGGATACTTTGATTGGATGTCTTAGTTCACCTGCAAATTCCTGTAGCTGGGGAGGCCAAACTGTAATTCTCAGTTCCTTTCAGCATCACACAGATCAGTTCCCAAAGAGAAAAAGATGGTTACAGTTACCAGAATAAAAAGAGAATGATTTTTCACAGGTTCATAGAAATCATATGCTCTTAAATATCATAAATAGGTCTGGCAAGATTGTCTTGGTATACTGAGAATTTTCATGGAAATTTGCACATACCTTCTTGATACTTACATAGTGATTATAGATTAAAAGATCACTTTATCATAAATACTTAATCATTTCCATTACCAGATTCTCAGCTTCCTGTATACAGGGACTGGTTCTTACTCATTAAAAAAAAAATCTCTAAGCCTAGTATAGTACCTAGCACATAGAAGGTAGTGAAACGTCTGTTGAATTAGTGAGACTTAGTAAATGAATGAGTAATTATCACATTTTGAGTGCTGTGTTCTGTCTTTGGCATACGGTATGAGAAAATTTTGACAAAAGGGGAAGAATCTAGAGGACAGAGGCCAGGATATTTTGTATAAAGTATGATTGAAATATTTTTTTCAGGTAGAAGGAAAGACAGCAAAGGATGGAAAATCATGATCATCTTTGTGATGTTTTCTACTTGTCTTACAGAGATTTGATATCTTTCCTTTGGGCACTCATGGCATTTTGTGTTTCTTTTGGAGAAGATGATGATGAGACAGTAACGGTAGTGTTAATACCACAAGCAGCTATCATTTCCATATTTGTGAACGTACTCTCTTCATATGTGCATGTGTGTGTATATATATGTGTATACATATTCAAACATTGCCTCTAATTTCTTTCAACATTTGTGTAATTTAGACATTCCTGTACCCAGTTTTCAGATAAGAAAACTGAGGCTTAATGAGGTTAAGTAACTTCCCCATGATCATAGCTAGTCATCGCTAGTCTTAGGTCTGGAATTCTAACTCAAATAGTCTGTTTCAAAATGTAGTGCTTTGTATCCCCTTCATGTTTTTCAGTTTTTACGTTATAGTAGCTGTGAACCTGTCTTATCACTATTAGACTACAACCTTTTTCAGAGCAGTTTGCCTAATTCTTGAATCTCCCATGGTACTTTGTCCTGTGCATAGTAGGTACTCAGTGAGAATTTCCTTAATAGGGTATTTCAAGTATTTGAAGGGAAATTTTAGAAAAGAAGAACTCTGGTGAACTTAGAGAAGGTAAATTCCAGTGGGATGTAGTGATGTTCTAACAAACAGAGCTGCCCAATACTGGAATGACATGTTTTTTCAATTAGGGAACTTTCTGCTGATGCTCAAAGAGTGCCTGGTAGGGAGGATGTTTTAAAAGGGAGCCTTCTTCGAAGGAGGCATTAGGCTATACAACTTCTTCATCTCTGAAGAGGTGAACTGCGGATCACAGAGATTTTGCTAGTGGCTTGATATTCAAATGTCTTATATTTTATTTGCCTTTTAATGACCTTCAGTGTTGCAAATTATTCCAAATGCTCAATGTCTGTAACACAGTACTTCTAAATTATATAGCAGGACAAAGATATAGAGGATATTAAAAATAGGGTATAAAGGGATTCAGTTTTTAGATCTGCCTTTCTGTGCACAGGATTTAAGCAAGTCAAATGTACTTAGAGCTTATGTTTCTTAATTGGGAAGATGGGAGAACATGGAATGTCTCAGAGACTAGGGATTTCTGAATTTGTTTAAAATAAAATTTTTCTAATAGTCTGTTTTTAACACTTTTTTTAAAGCAGCTTTATTGAGATATAGTTCTCATACCATATCATTCATTCATTCATTCAATGAGTATAATTCAGTGTTTTCAGTATAGTCACCACAATTTAATTTTAGAACATTTTCTTGATTAAAGCCCTGAACTGCCAGTAAAATGTTAAATTTCCATGGTGTCTTCCACATAAAGGCAGAAGATGGTCAAAGCTGTTAAGTATTTAGGGGATATGTTAGTCTGTTCTCACACTCCTATAAAGAAGTACCTGAGACCAGATAACTTATAAATGAAAGAAGTTTAATTGGCTCACGATTCTGTAGGCTGTACAGGAAACGTGGCTGAGAAGACCTCAGGAAACTTATAATCATGGTAAAAGGGGAAGCAGGCATGTCTTAAATGGCCAGAGCAGGAGGAAGAGAGAGAAGGGGGAGGTGCCACACACTTTTAAACCAGATCTCATGAGAACTCACTATCACAAGAACAGCAAGGGGGAAATCTGCCCCCATGACCTAATCACCTCCCACCAGGCCTTACCTCCAACACTGGGGATTACAATTCAACATAAGACTTGCATGGGGACAGAAATCTAAAACATATCAGAGGAGAAGGAGGTAAACACATGGGAAAAGAGAAAAGCAGCAAAGCCGTCATAGAAAAGGAAGGTAGGTGAATGCTGATATGTATTTGGGCAGGCTGACGACCTACTTAACACAACTGTACATGTTGAGCATGGCTTTGAAGGAGGAGTCAGATACAAGTTGGCAGCATGGTGTGGGTAATTCCAAGAGAGACAAATGATGAGTGCCCAGTGGCTTGCAACTGGAAAAGATCAAGGTTTGAGACAGCCTGGGAGATAAGAAATTGCCTGCTTGGCTGAGACCACCTGAGCCAGAACATCATGGAGCACAAGGCAGTTAGGTTAGGGTCAGTTGGTAGACCTTTTAAAAACACATGTAATTTAGCCCTGATGAGTTGAGCCAATTTATAAAGACTTAGTGCATTTGTGAAGTGACAACTGAAATAAATCAGACAACCATGGACAAAGCCAGTCTCAAAATTTGCCTAAATTGTAGTCCTCCCAGTTCTGAGTTCTGTTTTTATATGAGAATCAGCTTTCAGTTGATACCTCTGTGTGTTTTTAAAAATGTGGTTTTTTTTTCATGCTGTATATGAATGCAGACACTGGATCTCTTTTGTAATCTTAATAATAAACTGGTAAATTTTGCTTTATTAGGGTTTTGGTTTTATAAGACATTTCATAGTTTTATCTCAACTTGCCAAAGAATGAATTGATTATTGGTTTTTCATCTGCACTGGAAGCCCTCTGGTTCTAAGTATTATTAATATTAATTATTATCTTTACCTAGTCAGCCAGACTTGAAAGCATCTGTCTCCATTAGAAAGAGAGGCACAGAATCAATCTGCCATGTGAAACAAGAGGCTTTGTAAATAAAACTTTTACTATAGAGCATTTGAAATTTGATTTCTACATTTTTAAGTATTTAAAAGTGGTGTATATTTTTTAATTTTTAAGAAGTTTGCATGTATTGAAAGTCATGTGGTTAGCTGACTTCTCACAATATATTTGCATATTTTATTATTTTTACCCTTACCAAACTGACTCTTGTTGACTGGTGTTACTTTACCATTTACTAGTTGTGTTTGACTTTTGGGCAAATTAAGAGCTCTAATCTGGAGTGTTTCCTCATTTATAAACTTGAGGATAGCAATACCTACCTCTCAAAGTGATTAAGAAGATTACATAGTACAGGGTGTCAGCACCGCCCGCCACTCCCACCTGGGAACCAACTACTTTCACTAGTGCAGTAGCTCACACATAACGCAATCCATTTGTATTAATGTCAAAATAAATCAGCAAATTAGGGAATTAAGTAGGATTTGAAATTTGTTTTCTATGCTTGTTAAACCAGAATTTTAAGAAAGTAATCTCTCCAATATGATGATGTTTCATTTGCTTAGATTCTCTGAATTTTATATTGCTTTTCTTAAGGGGAGTTGAGAGCCCCTTTATTTTTCCAATTATTTAGGAATCCCCAGCAGGAGCAGCCATTATTTTACAGATGGTAAGAAAGGCAGGTGTGTGAAGTGGCTGGTTAAAGTGTATCATGATGCAACTCATAAAAATGAATATGGAAAAAGAGAGTTGTAAAAAGAAAAAATGTTATTTATAACTATTTTGAGACATTTACCTTTAAATCATTTTCTTAAGCCTCCTTCTTCAGATAAGTTAATCTACTCTTCCATAAGAATACTTGAGAATAAAATTGGGTAGCCTAAAGGAGTTATTATACATGATTTTCTACTAACTGGAAATAGCTATGGACAATCGCCTTTAATTTTGATTCCCCAGCTTTAATAGCAGACTTCCTATTGCAGAAGTTGTTTTAAAGGAGAAAAAATACTTTTAGCAGATTATATGTTTAAGAAAAGGAACTTTTAGTCTCTTTTAAAAATGCTGCATTTAGTTATTAAATAGTTGATTTATTTTTATGTTTGCATTTAGAATTCCTTTTCTGTTTTCCTCCACTGAACATACCAATTTTGTTTTCGAATGGCTAACCCATTTGGTATCTCTGGTTTAAAAATGAGAATAAAAATTTGATAATAATGGCTTTTGGGGTTTGACTGAGTTACAGCTGTTTTCTTATATTTTGCTTTGTGTGGGGGTGAATGAATGAGTGTGAGAGAATAAAAGGGCAGAGTTTAAAAGACTGCTCTCCTTGAAGGCAGAGGTTGTCTTAATCATGATGTTCAGAGCCCATGGATCAGGACCTAGAAGCCTCTGGGGTAAACATTTTAGCTACAGCTCTTGTAGTCTAACATCAGGTTATTGAAAAAGACTCCGAGAACCACTACCAATATTATGAACTAGCAGGATTGAAATGTGAATCTTGATATATTCTTTCTGAAAAATAACCTTTTTGTGATTGCTATGTGCAAAGCATAATGAAATGTGCTGTTGGAGGAAAGGAAGAGGTTAGTGGAAGTCTCAAAATGAAAAAGCAAGTTGCTGCGTAGAAACTTATGTCAGCTATGGAATAAAGTAAATGAATGGATAGAAGAGTAAGGGTGATAAACAGGTTACCTACATTTTAAAGAGTTATTTCATGATGAGGAACATGCTGTGTACGAGGGAAGGCCACCTATAGCTTAGGGTAAAAGCATTTGGAAGTAACAGTCATTTCCCCACCAATGTTCTCTCTTTTCTCTCATTTTGTCACTGATGTTTTAGATTCTGTCAGCTGGCCCTTCTATTCTGTCACCATTTGTACTTTTCCTATACTGCCAGTTTAAGATTTTTGTTATAAGCATGTTATATGACTTGGTTGCTTTTTTTTTTTTTTTTTTTTTGTAGACACAGATAATGTACAAGTGGATAGAGCCCAAAATCTGCCGGGAGGATCTCACAGATGCTATTAGATTGCCCCCTTCTGGAGAGAAGAAGGATTGTCCGCCTTGCAACCCTGGATTTTATAACAATGGATCATCTTCTTGCCATCCCTGTCCTCCTGGAACATTTTCAGATGGAACCAAAGGTAGGATGTCAATTGGTCCAATAACTGGGCCTTTAGCAAAATGATCTTGTTGGACTACTGTGACCATTTTCTAAATTGTTTTTATGGAAAGTGGTTACAGAATTTCTTTTAGTTTTAGTAGACAAAAATTGCAGTCAACTGTAATATTTTAGTTGCAGATAGATGGCTTGAATATAGCCATGTTGTATACTTACTATCCAGAGCCTTTGAGAGATAGCATAAAAAGGACTCTGAAGGCAAACTGACTTGGATTTGAATCTATGTCCCCCATGCTACCAATAGTGTGATTTATCCAAGTTGTTTAAACTTTTTGAAGCTCAATTTTCTTGTCTGTAGGATGGTGGATAATATCTGGCTCATCATCATTGAGAAGGACATTTAAACATGCCTTCTGTAGTACTTTTGCAGCAGGTATAAATGTTTGTGAAATATTTTCTTTCCCTACTCCTTTTCTTACTGATGTGATGATGCGAAGTGGCTACATTTCTAAATGGTTGGAAAAGACCCTTCTCTTTCAATTTTGCAGATGTCAATTTAAATCAGGCTTATTTATAAACCCAGCACTTTCCCAGCCCCTCAACACCCAACCATTCTCAACATAGTCAATATTTTGAATTTGAATTAATCAGTTCATAAATGGTATTAATATTCTGTTAAGTTGAATAACCAATAGGAAGAGTGAAATCTTTCTTTATTCATAAGGTGGAAGAACTGATTCTAAGGTCACATGCAGGAGAACTTGAACTTGTTTCATAGTTACTCTTTTTATGGAGGGTAATTAAGTATTAGCAGCTACTCCCAGATGTGAAGGAAAAAATTATTTTTAAAGATTTTGTTTCTGTCCTTTTCCTTTTTCATTTTAGTCAAGTATATGTATGTATGTATAATATATCTAGAATTTTGTTCTTTTCAGATTTCTTTTGAAAAAGTTAGTACATCCTGAGGGAACTGGTAGTCCAATATCTTTTTTTTCCACTTCTCTCCCTGCTAATTGTAATGTAGTGTGTTTGGAACAGAGAAAGTAGAAGTTGTCCATATGCAGTTTAATTTTAATTGTTGACCCTACTTGTCTCCTGTAGAATGTAGACCATGTCCAGCAGGAACGGAGCCTGCACTTGGCTTTGAATATAAATGGTGGAATGTCCTTCCTGGCAACATGAAAACTTCCTGCTTCAATGTTGGGAATTCAAAGTGCGATGGAATGAATGGTAAGTTCAAAATCAGCCTACTTGATGTATTTCAGCAATAGAGACATCATTCATTCTTGAACTTAGCTCTCTAAAACATACCAAGTATGGGTATGAGGAACTTCAATCTTATCATTTGGCTGCTTGCCCATCTTCTGGTTGTACCATAAAAATAGTAAATGTGGTGTCACAGCCAGGTGACATTCATAGAAGAACAAACTATTAATTTTGCATTTTTTTTAGGCAGTATTGAAGTAGATGCTGAGAATCATCATTTATGGGTATAAATGCCAGAATAGATTTACCAAGGAGGGGGATGAAATCTATGTTCTTTACCATTTTAAAGAGTAGCATGATGGGATTTCTGTCTTGATTAGTCTGGCTCAGCACTGTGCCCTGGTGAGGGGTTAACTAACTTCAAATTCCCCTTGCCTGTCAAGTCTATGATTGTATTTACAAAGTATATATGAATTCTACCTATTGAAAATTTGAAAATGTGGCAGAGTTCTACAGAACAGTTGTTGATTTGTATTTGCTCTTACCTTTTAAGTGCCTAGAGGGCTTGGAATTTACTTGTTCTGCAGTATGTGATGGTTGAATGAATATATGTATTTTTAAACTTTATGCTACGGGTAGGTATTGTATATACCAGACCTTTACACTAAAATGCATCCTTTACTTATAACCTCACTGGCATTTTTTATCTGCTCACTTTTCTCTATATTATGTTTAATTATTGTAAACACGTATGTGTGTGCTTTTTAACACATACGTTTTAAATCAATATCTATTCAAAAAAAAAAGCTTGAGTCATAGGAAGTGAGGTGTATACATGAGCACAGAGATTGACAAATAATAGGTTTTTGAATAATGTTAAACAGATGAGTGAAAGAGGAAAAGACAAAGCCTCAGTATATATATTAAATGTGAGCTAGTCTTCATTATTGACCAACAATCCCACTTAAAAAATCCTCAGAGAGAAGAAGAATAAGATATAATAGCTGTTACTTGACCCTGAAGGTTTTTTTTTTCCTAAAATGTCCTATAATTGAATTTTAAATTGAGAAAATTAAGTCCTATTGGGAAAATAAGATTGGGAAGGCAAGGGTATAGAATAACTCTATAAAAGGACTAATACATTTGTGTGTGTGTGTGTGTGTGTGTGTGTGTGTGTATTCACTTACTAGTAAAGATTACCTGAAACTTTAATTGGATCTTATAGAGGACTTATTCATAGCTTAAACTCTGGAAATACTTGATTTACCCACTTGCTTACTCATTTACTGAGAGTCTATTTTTAAATTTTGCTTAGTTTTCAGTAATGATCAATGATTAAATGAAAAGTATAAATCTCTGCAGTATTAGTGTGTGGCATTGAAATGGTAAACAGTAATGTAAAAACTACAAAGATAAAAGGTGATGTATATTTTGTGACTGGCTGGTCCAGTAGCCAACCTTGTGAGGAGCAGCACTCACAAGAACGAGGGTGAAATGGAGAGGCACAGGGGCAGCCTGTCCCCTGGGATAGTCACCCACTAAGGCATGGAGTTAAAGCAAGTGTGCTTTGCCCAACTTGACTGTATGATTTGGAGTGCTTTGAGATTCATGTAGTCTTGGTCTGATTTTCACACAGTTACAGAACAGGTATGTAGAAGCAAATCTTCATGTGCTAAAATTTGCCTAAGAGGAATTCAAAGCTGGAGACAAGTAGTTTTTATTCATGAAGATGTTCATTGGGCTTTATCTATAACAACAAAAATTGAAATAATTGAAATATCCAAAAATAGGATAATGTTTACAAAAGTTATATTACCCTAATGGAATGAAATATTATGCAATCATTATGTGCAAGTTGTACAGAAAACAATTTGGCAAAGTTTCAGAAATTTAGAAAGTTCCTATTCTCCAAGCCAAAAATACCACTTATGAGGATTATACCAAGGAAACAGTGTGATGTAAAGAAAAATTATGCACAAAAAATATTAATTTTAGAGTTATTTATAAGAGTGAAAAATAGGAGAAAACTAAATTTTCAATAATGGGGTATGGTTAAATAAAATTATGATATAGCTATGTAACATTGTTAAGTTATTAAAATTAGATGTGCAGAGGATTTTTAGTGGTTTTTTAATGATACATAATAGTTTTATATATTTTGGGGGTACGTGTGATATTTTGATATATTCCAAAATGTGGAATGATCAAATAAGGGTAATGGGATATTATCATCTCAAACAATCTTTTTAATGTTGGGGACATTCTAATTCTTCTAGCTATTTTGAGCAACACAAAAAACTACTAACTACACCCTACTGTATATTGAACACTAGATCTTATTTCTTGTATTTAACTGTATTTTTGCGCCCATTAACTAATTGCTATTTACCTCAAAGGGGTAATATTTTTCATAGAATGATGATCAGAAAAATCAGAAGACCATGCTAAATGAAAGAAAAACAGGAAATAGATTATATAGTAAAATCTAAGTTATATATTTTAAAAGTATACACTAGACAAATACTAAAAAGAATGTTAAAAGGCTATTCCTTGGAGATGGGAGGTTTATGTGAAATATGAATTACTTTATTTTTAAATTTGGTTTACTGTATTTAATATTCCTTATAGACACTCATTGCTTTCAAAATCAGAATAGTAACACAATATTGATTTAAAAATATATTCATTTGACTCAATAACTCTTTTATTGGTATTCCTTTTTAGAAAAATATTGAATATATAGAAAAGCTTTACAAAAATATGTTTATTATAGTTTATATTATGTTACTTAAAGGTAAAAACAAACCAAATGGTTAAAATGGATGTGTAATCAACAGTAGATAAGTCCTGTAGTGGGAGCGATTTGGTGAATTATGCAAATTATATTTAGCTGAATAATAAAATATTATTTCAGTCATTAACATGTTTATGAAGTATTTATAAAAGTGCTTATGAAATAATGTTAATTTATAAAAGCATGATACAAAATTATCTATAATAAAAGCTCAGTGATGTAAAAACATGTATGCGTTGAAAGAAAGTGAAAAGAAACATCACAGCATGTTAATGGTGTTTTTTTTCTAGGTAATGAAGTTATAAGTAATTTTAGGTTTCAACTTTTAAATTTGTCTTTAAAATTTAAAATTTTTATGATAAATATAAGTATGATTTTTAAATACAAAATAATCTTAAAATATAAAATATACACAGAAACATGGAAAATATGAGATTCACTCTTATGGAAAAAAGAAAATACAAAATTATGTATACCATTATTAAACTGTGCCTATGGACAAAGACTAGAAGGGAATGTATAAAAATTATAATAGCTGTTAGGTGTTAGGTTAGAAGTAAATGTTTTTGAAATCAACATTCTGGTTGACACTGTTCCATATAGTTTTTATGCTTGAGAAAGGATAAAAATAACAACCAGGGCACAGTAAAAGGCAGTATTTCCTAGGTTTTCTACTGACTTTGATATGCCCTGGTTGATAGGAAAAAAAAATCTTAATTTTTATATTGATGACATGTCAAAATTATGATATTCTGTGTATATTGGGTTAAATAAAATATATTAAAATTTCACTTCTTTCTTTTTACATTATAAAATGTGGTCCTTAGAACATTTAAACTCACAGGTGTGGCTCACATATTTCTCAATTGGATAGCAGTGGTCTATCCCTTAAGGCACTTATATTGATTTGGTACTAGCCATCTGGTTTCCCTTTGACGCCATTGTCCTCCTGCATTTCTTGTCCAGTACATTACCCTGCGTGTGTCTTTCCACATACAGCTCTGCTCTCACGTTGGCAGTCTGGAGTTCTGAGTCAGGGGGTTCAGAGCAGTAGATTCTTTTATTTCTTTTCTTTGGTGTTTTTCCTGCTAAGGGTATCATGAGTGTTTAATTTCTTAGGGCTCCTGCAACAGAGTGCCACAAACTGGGTGGCTTCAAACAACAGAAAAGTATTCTCTCAGAGTTCTAGAGGCCAGAAGTCTGAAATCAAGGTGTGGGCAGGGCTATGTTCTCTCTGAAGCCTTTAGGGGAATATCCCTTCTTGCCTTTTCTAGCTTCTGGTAGCCCCAGGAATTCCTTGACTTGTGACAGCCTAACTCTAGTCTCTGCCTCCATCTTCAAAGGGCCGTCCTCCCTCTGGGTCTGTGTGTCTCTGTGTCTTCAAATGATCCTCTCCCTGTGTGTCTACATCTGTGACCGTATTTTCCTCCCCTCATAAGGACACCAGTCATTTTGGATTAAGGCCCATCCTTATAACCTCATCTTAATTTGATTATATCTATAGAGTCTTTATTTCCAAATAAGGTCCCATTTATGGGTATTGGTGGTGGAGATTTCAACATATCTTTTCTTAGGGACATAGTCAATGCATAACAACAAGTGTTCTGTTCAGCCAAACCTGTGGCTGGAGTTGCTCCAAAAGTGGCTGGCAGGGGTGCTCCCAAAAGGAACTTCCCTAAACTGTCCTGAGACAGGGTCAGTTGGGATTTCAACAAAAGAAGCACTGAACACCACAGTGATCAGTCCAAAGCATTTATTAGGGGAATTTACCTACAGAGAGGCCTGTAACATACCTCACAATGGACAGTAAGACAAGGAATGTTCTACTGAGGTGTGTCTGGAATGAGGGGAGTCGGGTTGTAGAGTTGAGATGAGGGTTTGAGGAGTTTGGCTCAAGGCTGGGGCTAGTTTCTTTCAGTATTTTAGACAACAACCTAAACACCTCTATCAGTGCCTGGGAATGTTCAAGGCCCTGGCTTGGGGTCAAGCCTGCAGGTAATGGAGAGGACATGCCACTGGCCAGGTCTCAAAGGGGTCAAGACACTCTGTTTCTCAGGACAGAGGAAAAAGTGGAGGACATTGGGGATCTCTCAACAAGTGATATTCAAACATGGGAAATGTTTGTTTCCTCCTGCGAGGGTATTAATCCTCCAAACTTAGCTCTCTTTACCATCCTTGTACTGCCTTCTTTTCTTTGCCCTTCCCTGCTATTCTATCCCTCCTCATGCCTTTCTGAACACTAGGAGTTGTTCTGAGAGAAACATTTCATAAAGTCCTCCCTTTCTTGGTATAGAATTGCTCCATGTGGGAATATCCTTCTGCTTTTTATCCCTACTGGAAGTTTACAGTCTCTTTAAACCTAAGTGCCTCTCATATTGCTTATACTGCAGTCAAGGGCCTGTTGTCCCACTGGGTCAGACTGCTTTATGGCTATTCAACTCTTAGAATTCTATACCTGCTTATCTCTCTTTTCAACCACATTAGATAGCCAAACAATGGACATCTGTCTTATAAGTATGTAGATTAGTACATATTATTTTTAAGACTAGCTTGACTGATGTATAGTCAACATATCATCTCTGTATAAATTGTTGATTATAACATTTCAAAAATCGCCAAGTCAGTCTAGCACTGAACCAGGCTCTTCCTTAATTTCTGTCTTTTACCTCTTGCAGTGGCAGATACTGATATTTTCTTTTAGAGATGGAAATGCCAATGCTGAGGTATTGCCATTAATTAATAACCTTGCTTGATGTTATGTTGGAGAGGCCTCTCTCTTCCTCATTTTACTGTGGCCATTTCAGTTTATATTGATTGTTACTTTGCAGAAGACGGACCTCATAATGGTTCTCTGTGCACAGCTCTATACTGTTGACAGTTGTTTGTGTCTGTCTCTCATGTTCTACAGACTCCTCAGTGAGGGGGACTTTGTCTTACCTTCCTATCCCAGTGCATGTCATAGTTCTTGGCACTCAGTAAATGCTAGTTGAATAAATAAGTGAATGAATGCAGAACAGGGGTTAAATTAGGGAACAACAGTACAGCAAACTGTAAGAATGAACCTCAGGTCCCAAATCTTTTCTGTTAAGTAATTTGAAGTTTCTATTGCACATTGGTTGCCTGAAGACTAGGATTGTTCATCTCAATATATTAGAGTAGATAGAGACCATCTGTTTTAGTTAAAATACAAATCATGCTTCATTGAGAAAACTGTTGTTATCCCATTAAGTATCTTTTATTCAAAATAATGCATTGCTTGGTTCCTCTTGGAACATCTACCTCGGGATGAAATTTGCGACTGTGATTAAAAATAGGGAATTCATTTGTAGCATTTCTAACTTTGAACAGAAACACTAATGCTTCTTTTTATTTTTACCTTATTTAAACAGATTGTTGGAGATCATTAATGGAATTTTTATTAATAAAAATGACTTTTATTACTTCTAGGTTGGGAGGTGGCTGGAGATCATATCCAGAGTGGGGCTGGAGGTTCTGACAATGATTACCTGATCTTAAACTTGCATATCCCAGGATTTAAGTAAGGAAAACAATTCTAATTCTTTTCTGTAAGAATCCTTACACCTGTTTCCCCACAGAAATAAAGAAGTAGGGCTACTTTATGGAACATATTAATATTACAAAAATACTTAGTAAATAACAAGCTGTCACAGGGTAATGTATTATATTGAAGAATATCTGTAGAAGTAGTGATTGAGAAACTATAAATGTTAGTTATATATTACTTAGATAAAGCTGAAAAATTTAAACAATAGTGTGTCCAAATGCTACCATAACTTTGATTCTTGGATGCTTAATGAAGAGGTCAGTCCAAGTTGTTTGCAGGAGTATCTTTTGGTTTATTTATCTATTTTTTCTCAGTTCTCTTGGTAAAATAGTATGTTAGAAATTTCTTAATCCCATTTCATTTTAGTTCCCCGTGTTGAAATTACCCAGTAGGAATCTTTTCCTTTAGGATGGATGGTATCATTTACAGCAAGAGGTTCAAGCATATTACCATCGTTATGTGGACTCAATGTCTACAAAGGGTGTGGACAGGTATGATTAAGTGAGGAAGGAGTTGTGGGTGAGGGAAGTGGTAGATTAGAGGAAGAGAAGAGCATGGCTTTTAGTTTAATAAAAATAGTGGCTTAATTTTATTCTAAATTGTATTTAGAACATAGTATAAATATTGCCATTTTAATCTGTCAAATAGACCACCAACATCTATGACTGGAGCCACGGGTTCTGAACTAGGAAGAATAACATTTGTCTTTGAGACCCTCTGTTCAGCTGACTGTGTTTTGTACTTCATGGTGGTAAGTGGACGGGCGGCTTTCAAAGGCAGATTTCTAAGCTTAGCATTCTCCTTCAAGTGTAAATTTATTTGTGGCAAGTTGGGATAAGAATTCCTTTTTTTTTTTTTTTTTTTTTTTTGCTATTCTTAGCACCTTTCACAAACATTAACAAATGTCTGAAGAAATAATTAAGAATTGTGCAATGAAGTCCACAAATAAAGTGTTTATTCCTCATGGGAAAGACTAAGTGAGGGAGCTTGGGTGACTGATAGAGGCCAGGGAATATTAATCTGGTAAAAAAAAAAATTCCTTCATAAAAACGTCACCAGCAGAATGAAAATTCTCACCTGATAACCATTCAGCTATTTGAACTATCCGGAAAGAAAAAACATTGTACTAATAAGTAAGAGCAGAAAATAATGGAGATGTAGAACATTGAGAAGAGAGCATTTAGAAAAAGAGTACTATGCTCATGTCATAATTTTGCCCATTTCTTTTCTAGATGTCATACAAATCTCTACTCTTAGCTTGAGGAAAGTATCACCATGAAATTTGCTAAGACCTTATGTGAGATTTAGAAGTTTGTTGGCTAAGAGTTTAACATTACAATTAAATAGTTACTTCACAGACCTGCTTTGTTTTTGTGTTTTTTTTTCCCAATGACCTTTTAGTAGCCAGTTAACAGTTTATTAACAGTTTTCTCCGTGATATGTAAAATGTGAGGAGACTTAAACATTTATTTGTGATTACTGATAGCTTAAATGAAGGCAGACTTTGTTTCTGAAAAAAAGTATCCACTTTGTGGCAGTAAAAGATCATGAATAATCTTCAACACAGCCATCTATATCACAAATAACCCGTAAGTCTTCAATTCTCCCAAGTCTGCCTCCTTATTTCTTTAGTCTGTTCTTCTCATACTCAGTGCCATTGCTGAAATGCAGACTAATATTATCTCTTAACAGGATTATTCAGTAGTCTCCTATACGTTCTTCTCATCTCTACTCTTTCATCTATACTGCTGTCAAAATTATTATTTTTTCTTTTTGGAGACAAAGTCTCACTCTGTTGCCCAGGCTGGAGTGCAGTGGTGCGATCTCGGCTCACTGCAACCTCTGCCTCCTGAGTTCAAGTGATTCTCCTGCCTGTCTTCTGAGTAGCTGGATTTACAGGCATGCCCCATACGTCTAGCTAATTTTTGTATTTTTAGTAGAGATGAAGTTTCACCATGTTGGCCAGGCTGTTCTTGAACTCCTGACCTCAGGTCATCTGCCCATTTTGGCCTCCCAAAGTGCTGGGATTACAGGTGTGAGTCACCGCGCCCAACTAAAATTATCCTTAAACATAAAAGGAACAGTAGAGGCTGGCGTGATGGCTCAGTTCTGTAATCCCAGCACTTTGGGAAGCTGAGGTGGGTGGATTGTTTGAGCCCAGGTGTTTGAGAGCAGCCTGGGCAACATGGCAAAACCCCATCTCTACCCAAAAAAAAAAAAAAAAAAAAAAAAAAAAATTAGCTGGCCACAATGGCGCATGCCTTTAATCCTAGCTACTTTGAGCTACTTGGGAGCTTTAATCCTAGCTACATGATCATGCCACTACACTGCAGTCTGGGCAACAGGCCCTGTCTCAAAAACAAAACAAAGAAGACACCCCAAAATTCAACAGTAGAGGCTTGAACAACAAAGCTATCCCTTCCCTTGGTGCTTTTTATGGCCTATAGCAGTGATTCTTAAAGTGTGGACCCTGGACCAGCACCACCTGGGTCCCCTTGGAAATTGTTAGAAATGCACATTTCTGGGTCTCAGCTTAGTCTTACTGAATAAGAAACTCTGTGGTCACAGCAATCTGTATTTTAGCAAGCATTGTGGGTGGTTCTGAAATACTTTAGAGTTTAAGAACCAACAGCCTCTGAATACACTTCAAATTCTGTAACATGGCGTCTTTATGGCTCTTTCTTTCCCCAGCCTCTGTTTCCAAACCTGCTTTTATGACTCACCTTTCTTTAGTCACCTGAATTTGTTGGTATTAGTGGAACACTCTGTACTTTTTCATTCCCTATGTGTTGACACTCTAAGCTAGAATGACATTTTTCCTTTTGCTGTTTTGTCTGATGAACTCCAATCATACTTCAGTAGCAGCTCAAACTTCACCTTTTCTCAGAAGCTCTCTCTTACTCCTTTCAGTCAAGTTAGCCACTCTCTCCAGTGTGCTTCTAAAACCCTTTGAAAAATCCCTGCTTTAATTATGTGAACTTATTTATGTTTTTGTCTCTCCCACTTGACCAGGCATCCCTGAGAGTAGGGATCTTATGATATTTGTATTGAGGAATCAATCCTAGAGCTTTCAGCTTTTGGCAAAGTCTGCCATTTTCTTTCCTCTTTGTGTGATGATCTTCTCACAGGACTTTTGGAGATCTCAAACCAAATAATATATAAAATGCTTTGAATATCATGTAGTGCTTCACAAATGTAAGGTGATATTATGTGCACTAATGCATTAAATTTCAATTATTATAACCCATAATGATGTTTAATGAAGCACCATCAATATATTATGAACTGCTTTTTGGGAATGATGATTTCATTGTTTGGTTACATGAGGATTTCTATAATGTATGATGAGCATTTTCTGTTATTCCTATCTGTGGTGTGAACTCAGGATGTGTCTCTTTAGAGCATATTTGGTTACTTTATCACATGTTTGATTCCTGTATTATCAAAGGATGAAAAACAAAGAGACTTGTCTTGAGCTCATGAAACCTTATTGCCGGCATCCCAGATAACTAATGGAAGCCCATCCAAATTCCTAAGTGATCTATCAGGATTTCTGCCAGGAAAATTAGAAAATTCAGAGTTTAGGCTTGGTTTTCTTTTTATATAAATTAGATGTATGTTACATTATCTGGTCAACTTATTAATATTTGCTTTCCAGTCATGTTAATGACAGCATATCAGTTGGAATATCACAAATTTGTGTGATTTTAATATTATCTTGAATTTAGTTAAATAAATAATAAATAAAATATAAATTAAACCTTTTGGAAGTCAAGTATAAGCAAGAGAGGATTTCATGAACATTAAATAACATTCTGCTTAACATGCACTTGGATAAAGTCACCCTGGAACTTGCAAGTATAATTCAGGGGAACTTGGAATTCCTATGTAAGAGCTCCCTATCAGAATCTCTGAAGGAAAAAGATAAAAAATTTGAAGGCTTTCCATTCAATGATAACTTTAGAAGTTTATTGTAAGAAGTTTGAGGAGTTATGTTTCCTCTTCTAAGTATATATCCCAAGCCAGATCACACACATGAAACAAAAATAGAAAATAAAAACAAAAAAAACCCCAACCCTTAAACATATTATGATTTGAGACCTCTTTCAAGTTATATGAACAATGTGGTTGATATATTGTGATTACTGAGTGAGGTGCCTGTGCAGACTTGAAGGCAAGTTTTAAGAGTTCTGGGATTACATGCTCTGTTTGTAAATAGTCATAAACTGTAATGGGTTTACTTTAAATATGAATACATTTGTAATATATACACAGGTATATTAATGTTGAGTTTGTGCTTTATTTGAATATAGTTTTTCCACTATATTTCAGGATATTAATAGAAAAAGTACAAATGTGGTAGAATCGTGGGGTGGAACCAAAGAAAAACAAGCTTACACCCATATCATCTTCAAGAATGCAACTTTTACATTTACATGGGCATTCCAGAGAACTAATCAGGGTCAAGATGTAAGTTCCAAGCACTTTTTTTTAAAATTTTAAACACACTAATGATGCCCCCTTGTGGAGATGCATACAAAGTGATAACTCAAATTTGGAAGAAAGGACTGCTTTTTAAAAAATATGGAATGAATAATCTGGTTATAGATTCAGTGGTATAAAATGATAATTTTTTATTTTTTGAGAGTAAGAATGTATGGAATAAAATAACAACATGTCTTTGAATTGTTCTTCACTCTGAACAAATACAGTTTTTGGAAACTTATGAGAAGGAAAATCTAATTTTGCAGTTCTCTAAAAATAACTTGTTTTTAAAGCTTTCTGAGGCTTTGTGAAGATGGGCAACTTTCTTCATCTTCATCTGAGTCATCTAATGTTTAAGAGCCATTAACTAGTGTCATTTTATTTTTTTGTTACAGTAATATTTCCTTTTACAGCCTGGAGAATGTGTATGTACCCACCATTGAGTTAACACACAAAATCATTTCCTTTCTTTTATTTTCCCTGCCAGAATAGACCTATTCCTCCCCTAAGTATATCCATTGTACCATATGTTTCAATAGTAGCAGGACTTATTTTGTGGATCTCTATAGATGTAACCTTCCCAAGGTGAGAACAAGATAAACCACTTGTTCAAAAGTGGCCGTAATGCTATGGTGGCAATGTATGGCATTTTCTCTTCTTCTCTTCAGGCTTTCAGTGGGGAATAAATTCCCCAGATTGTACTTGACTCCAGTTATTCCTTATGAAGGTTAAGATAACCATCCTGTGGGGCGTGAACATGCTGTGGAATCTTTCCTTGCCTTCCATTTATCTTTGTCCCAGACAAAAAGCATTAAGTAGTCTGGAGTAACACTGCTCTGTACCGATAGAGTGACGCCAACTGCTTAATTAAAACCAGACCTTAAAGTGACTCAGTGTTACAAGGAGGAAAAACATAATAAGACCCAGGTTTTTGCTCTCTAGTCCACATCTTTTCTGTATGTTGATTAGGGAAAGGACTGGAGAAGGAAAGGAAGACTCAATGAAATGGTGTGATTGCATTGATTTAGCACAGTTAATGTTTGTGTATGACTAGAGGTCCTAGTCTTCCAAGATTTTCTCATCCCCATTCCAAGGCATTTCTACCCTGCCGCACTTTCAACCTCCTATTGTATCATTTGATTTAGGCTAAGATGTGAATAAATGATGATGGGAGATAAAAACTGTTCCTCTCTTAAACTATACTAGTTCTTCTAGATATGAGGTCTATAATTGCATCCTAATTTATACTAATTGTGACAGATCTCACAGTAATTGTGGCAAAACTCCTGGAACTATATTATTGCAGAAATTAGTTTCTAGTATCAAGATTTAAGATTTTTTAAAAGAAGAACCAAATAGCAGTGATATTAATCTATTGTCAATTACAAACTATTAGGCTGGAACACTCTATTTAGTTATTTTGATGATGTCAACAGAAGACATAATCTGGTTGTACAACTAAGCCCCAAGGCAGAAGTCATTACTTTATGCTCTTTTTTTTAGAATAGACGGTTCATCAATGACATGGTGAAGATTTATTCTATCACAGCCACTAATGCAGTTGATGGGGTGGCGTCCTCATGCCGTGCCTGTGCCCTCGGTTCTGAACAGTCGGGTTCATCGTGTGTCCCCTGCCCTCCAGGCCACTACATTGAGAAAGAAACCAACCAGTGCAAGGAATGTCCACCTGACACCTACCTGTCCATACATCAGGTCTATGGCAAAGAGGCTTGTATTCCATGCGGGCCTGGGAGTAAAAACAATCAGGTAAGTGGGTCTGCATTTCAGGTATCCCCATGAAAGCACATTTTAATAGAGAAATTCAAGCGTTCTCCTTAATGTTTCTCTGGGAGCTATGAGGTTGCTATTTATTCTGAAATAAGACTTTCTACTTACCATTTCTGTTTTCTCCCTTCTTGCGTTTATTAAACACTTACTGTATGCTATGAAAGTACTAGTTACTGGTGACATAAAATATTAAAAGCTCCCAAATAAGAATGCTTTTCCAAAATATTAAAACTGATTTCTTGTGTATTGTTTAGGTACAGCAAATAAACTACCTATCTATAGGCTGGCTATAGCAGTCATCTGGGAACAGCTAGTGTTTCTTATAATTTTGAATGGCAAAGATTGATGCCATATTATGAGTGAAGGACAAAGCACTTTTACTGTCTGTTTAAATTTACGTAACAGAATTTTGGCTATTTCTTAAAATACCTTTCTACAAGGAACAAACTTGAGGATAACTTTACTCTGTCTTTAAAAGATTCTGAATTTTCTGAACTTTGTTTAGAAAAATCTAGTTAGAGTTTAGAAATTCTTTATATTAGTATGGTAAAGTATATTATAGCTAAGACTAAATTACTGGAATAGTTTTTATACCTAGAACTTTTTTCAAACACATTTTAGTAGCAGCTAATATTTTCTTTCCTGCTATATTGTTTCTTTATCTTTAATCAAAGGACCATTCGGTTTGCTATAGTGACTGCTTTTTCTACCATGAAAAAGAAAATCAGAGTTTGCACTATGACTTTAGCAACCTCAGCAGTGTGGGCTCATTAATGAATGGCCCCAGCTTCACCTCCAAAGGAACAAAATACTTCCATTTCTTCAATATCAGTTTATGTGGGCATGAGGTGAGTTCTGGCTGTCAAGGTGAGATGGACCTATATTTCAGCTCCGATCAAGTTGATATTTTCTGTGTTAATGGACCAATAAATTCTCTATGGATATCAACCAAGTGTCAGAAACTGAGGTTTGATTGCTTAGATCCTCTATTGCTGCCTAGAATATTGGCAGATTTCTCCACCAGGGGCAACCTTGTCTGGTTCTCAGTGTATCAAATCACTTATGCAGTCAGTTGAAACCTGAAGCTTGGAGCTATGGTGTAAGTGCTTTGAGGATGTTTTGTTTTCATAAAAATGGGTCAGGGTTGTCAATCTTACCTCTTTAGGCAGGAAGTTATTTGAGAAAGTTTTACTGTTGTTTATGTTGTCAATTTTGTGTTTTAAGAAGAAAAAGACTTTCAAGAGGAAGCTTGTCCAAAATAAAAAGGAGACATGCAGGGCCAAATATCAGTTGATAAGGTAGGCTTAAATCATACAAATGGGATTTTATTTGCTGTGAGAAGAAGAGGAATCTTAATTGATACTGGCAATGGGGAGAGGTTACAGGACCATGATGCCCAATATTTTAATGGACATATGAGGTTAGGGTTGGGAAGTATGTATAGGTATATACCTACAGAGTAGGAACAGGATAAGGCATTTCCTCCATGTCACTTCCCATATTAACTCCTATATTTTCAATTGTCTTCATTATGAGATACTGTGCAAAGCTTTGAACAAAGGAAACAAAAAGAGATCTGATGACCACAGAAGTTTTCAAACAAAAAGATCCATAAAATTTTACATAGTATGACAGCTGTCCTGTTTTGATTTTACCTGGGGTGATCCAAGACACTCACTAGATTGGTTACTCAGTTCACTCAATAAATATAAATTAAATACCTGTTATGTGCCAGATACTGTGGGAAGCAGTGAATAAGATTAATTCCATTGTCTACCATACTTCTATCACAATCTTATTGTACATTAGCACTACCTCTTTTTCCACCTTCTCTTCTCTTCACCTCTAGCTTCTATCTCTTTCCTTCCTTTTTATTCTTGTTTCTTTCCTTTTAGCTTCCACTATTTTCCTTTTTCTTTCCCCAGTACCTTTTCTCTGATCTTTTCCATTATTTTTTATTGGCTTCAACATTTTAATTTAAGCCTAGTAAAAAAAATATACTGGTGAGAAGGCCTATTGTCAGAAGGCCTGGTAGCAGGAGAAAAATTTATAGGTTAGGTCTGCTAGCTGCATTAAGAAAGATAAACTTTTATACTTTTCTTTTTACACATCTGTGTACACTCTATATCTAACACCAATGAAATAGTTTTCCTGTATTATTTTTACATTTACTTTGTAGAAATTATGGAGCAAGCTATAGTCTTTTGCAGTAGGACTACAGTAAATTTAAACATATTATATTTAAACAATTTTTCCATTTTTTATAAGTTATATCTTCCAATTATTTTCAAAATTATTAAAAAAGCTAATCTCTCTATTACCTTTAACTTGTTATACAGTTGAACAGATACACATCATTGAAACTAAGAGTAGGTTAATAAAGACACTTGTAGTGACCAATTATTTAGAATTCAGGTGTTATTCTAGAATTTTGCTGCAGTATGACTTTTGTGCTTTCTTCTTTAGCCTTCACATTACCTTTCTGCTACACATAGGGTCATAAAGGAAAAGGAAGACCAACACTTTTTCTTTGACACTGAAGCTTTCATCAGCAGTTTTCTGGTCTTTTTGCATGCATTGTTACTCTATGAATTGAACATTTCATAGATTACTTTTATTTTCTCAAGTTTGATGACTTTCATTTATCACAAATGATGCTTGTACTGGGAAGAGCAGTATAGTCTTGAATTACTGTATTTGTTATAACTGTAGACTCTGAAGTTTGGTTGAATATTGGACTTTCCTTGAGAGCTTTTAAAAAGTACTGATGGGTGGCTAGGCCTCATACCAGATCAACTAAATCAGAATCCTTGCAGTGAGGAGAGAGCCACTGCTCTTCTAGGGTCACTAGCTAGTCAAGATTAAGTTTAGAGATTGACATCCAATAAAACCTTTCTTTTATGACTTTATTTTCCTAGGGGAAGAAGATGGCTCTCTGTACCAACAATATAACAGACTTTACAGTAAAAGAAATAGTGGCAGGGTCAGATGATTACACAAATTTGGTAGGGGCATTTGTATGCCAGTCAACAATTATTCCTTCTGAAAGTAAGGGTTTCCGAGCAGCCTTATCATCACAATCCATCATTCTGGCAGATACATTCATAGGTAAGCTTCCTTTGGTTCATATATGCATGCATACATTTATTCTTAAATTATGCTATGAATAACTTGTCATTGTATTGGTGTTTGCTATAGATGATTAAGGCCCCCACAGGTAATTTTAAATTGTCACTTTGTAAGATGGTTAAAAAGCTCCTACTAGTGGGGACTATTGATTAGTCTCTGAGAAGCTTCTGCATTTATGTATTAATTCATATATAAGTATGACATTTTCTGAGGGTCTATGCCTGTCATCAGACTTTCTAGAACTTTAAGAGGCAAACCAATTTTAAAAATCAAAACTAAAAACAAAATAGGAATAGTAAACAAACACAACTACACCTAAATTATTTATATGCCACCAGTTTCCATCACCTTTTCTCATACCAAAAGGAAGCAGGTGACAAACAGCAAAGGTGAGGGTGCTGAGTTTGATTCCTCATGTTCCCTTTTTGTCTCTGTAGTCCTGGAGGTCATAGATAAGTTTCAAGAAGAATCTAGCTCTCTAATGGGTGATTCTTAGGGATCAAATTTATTATGATCTCTACAGTGGGGCTTAGGAATCTGTGGTTTTAACAAGCTTCATAGGTGATTCGGATGTGTGGCCAGATTTGAGAACATTGCTTATAGTATAGACTCCAGAGGAATTTAGCATTGACTTTCAGCACCAAGGTCAGTTACTGGGGTGGGGGTTGCTCAGATTGGGAACTCTGAAGCAAAGTTTGCTCTTATTGTGTTTTGGCTCTGTTATTTTGCTTACAAGAGGCAGGGAAAAAAAGCCTTAGTTTTCTGCTTACTAGATTAAGCAAATTTCAGAGTTATTTTCTGGAAATTATTAGGGCACAAAATTTTTTGCTTTGTCAAATATGTCTATATTGAATATGAGTAAAAAGCTGTATTAGCAAAGTAGCCTAACTCATTCGATAAAATTCACTGGAGAATGAAAATTTTAATAGACTTTTGAGATGTTAGAGAACTGAAACGAACTTCGTAGATTATCGAATTACTGCTTGCATTAGATTCAGGCAACAAGACCCAGGGAAGTGAAAAGACTTAAGCAAAATTACAAAACTAGGGAGTAGAATCTTTTCTCTTTCATTCTGGAGACTTTGGAAAATTTCTTGTTTTTACCATGAATGCATTAATATAATACAGCATTTCTGTAAATATTGTAAAATGACAGTCATTAAAGCTATTTTCTATTCAAAACTACGGAGACCAAATAAAACTAATTTTCCATATTGCTTAATAGTTTCTTTTTAAATGTCATCTAGGAGTCACAGTTGAAACCACATTGAAAAATATTAATATAAAAGAAGATATGTTCCCAGTTCCAACAAGCCAAATACCAGATGTGCATTTCTTTTATAAGTAAGTGAAGATGCTGTTTCCCTTGACTATATTTTAACCAAAAGAAACTTATATATATGGAACACCAATACTCATATATTTATAATTATGGGTATGTAATCATATACCAGATGTGAGTTCTTATGGCAGAGAAGATCAACTATGTCACCTGAGCATTCCTAGAATGTAGCTTATACTTAATAATTAGTAACTGATTCTTAAATGAAGGATAGTAAAAAGTAGGAAACATGGAATATTTTGAAAGCCTTGTATAATTTCTCGTGTGTGTGTGTGTGTGTGTGTGTGTGTGTGTGTGTATTCACTTACATTGGCAGTAAAGAGACTCTATTTCATTGTCTCGCCAATAATTATTTATAATTCATATATCAAAGCATTGGCCTAAGTAGACATGGTCTTTGTTCCCTTAAGAATATTTTTGATTATAATTTTTATTAAAATTATATCTTTACTAAATACTTTGATGATAACATATCACTTTACCTGGGAAAGTAGTCAACTTTTCATAGGCAATGAAAGTAAATGAGCTGAATTTGTATTAAAATTACAAATTAGTGAACTTTAATACATTTTTCTTTTTCATTTGTTCATGAAGTCTGAGAGCAATTATTCCCATATTTTTGTCTTTGTAATCTGTATTATATCTGTTTTTTAAAAATGTTATTTGGCTTACAATAGGTCTTCTACAGCAACAACATCTTGTATTAATGGCCGATCAACTGCTGTGAAAATGAGGTGTAATCCTACTAAATCTGGAGCAGGAGTGATTTCAGTCCCCAGGTATCCTTATTTCCATATGATTTGTGTTTACCATGAGGAAGAAAAACTCTCCAGAATGTTACTATTTTAAAACATATTCTCTATGAACATAAAGCAGAAAGAAAACAGAACAATCTGTAGGGTTTTTTTTTTTTTTGTAGGGAATGTGCTGAGTGTGTATTAAGAGAAATAGGTCCTTGTACAATCTAAAGACTTCCTAGCCTCTTGTATGACATATTCTTGTCCTGTTTGTGTTAAGTGTCTAATTCTCTTGAAGAAATATAAAATTAATTATATTGCTTGTATCCCTGTATTTATTTTATTGTTTAGCCTGAATTTCCTTGAGAGCTGGATTAGTAGCTTTCCTGATTATGGTACTAGATCAACAATTAACTAGCTGGGTGATCAAGATTAAGTAATCTAACCTCTGAGTCATAGCTTTTTTCTCTGGAAGGGTATGGGGGCCAGGGTAATTTATATTATCGATTTCTAGCTCTTCAGTTTATTGATTAATGGTGGCAGAATCACCAAGGTAAGTCTGACTTATAAAATACATAATGTGCTTCATTTAACACAAATTAGCATTAAGGCAATAGCCCTCTATAGTGAAGATCTGAATAATGCAGTTCGCTTTGGATGGGAAAACAACAAGAAAACAATTTTGTAGGCTCAGAATTGTCAACTTAAATACAGACTGCTTTAATAGCATGAGTGACACTTGAATGCCTCCTCAGTTTTATTTTTCAGATATTCATTTTTCAACATGAAGATTATTTATTACTTTATATTTTATTTTAAAAATTATTATTATTTTTAAATTTTTTGTAGAGATGGGAATCTCCCTACATTGCCCAAGCTGGTCTCAAACTCCTAGCCTCAAGTGACTCTCTTCTCAGCCTCCCAAGCTGGGTTGGGATTACAGGTGTGACCCATTGCACCCAGCCAGATTATTTATTTCTAATCTTTGCTGAGTTAAGATACCTTTGGATCATAGCTTGATTTGCAGATTTTTTTTCTCTATCAAATTAGCAAAAGTATATATTTTTAAAGAGAAAATGATTATATTAATTTTGTTTTTGATAGTTTCACAGTAACCCTTGGGAGATTTTAACCTGTCCTGCTTATGTCACATCAGGATTGGAAATCAGTGGTGTAAGCATTGCTTCAACTACTTATGTATCCTAAAAATAGTTACAGGGGTAACACAGTATTTTGGGCTTATTTTTGGGCATAAAGGCATACTGACATTCTCTTTTCACCAACTGCGTGTTTCCACTTCTCATAGACCTATGATTTAATTATTCTTTTTACCTGTTCAAGGTGAGAGATGGATGCAACAAGAGTAGTACCTAATAATAATAAAAGGGCATCCTGTGGTAGAGGATCCCTCTGCCAGCCTCCAAGCTAGAACCAAGGCAACAAGCCACCCTCCAAGGAAAGGTGTGGTCAGAGATTCTAGCAATAAAAGAGTGTGTCTTTCATCATTTTCTAATATGCCATCATACAGTTCTGAGTTCAGGTGCTTATTCTATTTACTACAGCACATCTGGGGGCCATATTGTGAACCTAACAATTAACCTGTAGTCTCTGGGAGTCTACTTCAATAGCTTCCAAAGCCTCCTCCAGGCCTCTAACTCAAGTAGATGATGTTAATGAAGATTAGGTCTGTCCTTTAGGAAACACATCACTCTAACTCTCGTAAGGTGTGTTCTGATGCTTTAATTGTAATAAGGAAAATAGTCTCCTGGAGTTAAGCGATGGCATGTAGAAACTGAATTTTTCCTATTTGGAGAGGAAAACTTGTTTCTCCTTTGACCTCCAGGAATCTGCCACTTAGGGAAGTAAACTATCTTTGCCAGGTTTATCAAGATGACCTGCAGCAGAATACCTTGGGGTATCTATTTAAAAAATTAATTTCTGGGCCTTCCCTAAAAATATAGAATCTTAGATGCTGAGCATAGGAACATTTTTAAAAACCACAAGGCAATTCTGATGTCTACTGAAATTTGTGAACCAGATTTTTTCTTAACTCACATTTTGGATTTTTTTTTTTCTGAGACAGATTCTCAAAATGTATTCCAAATTTTAGTTTTATGAAAAGCTAATTTAAAATGTGACAGTCTAAAGGGTGTAGTCCTTCAGCCATGTTTGATAAATCTTCATTTAGAGTTGTGATGCGCACTGAAGTGTGCTGACCACTACTTTAGGGAGCTGCTTGAACACTACAGCTTAAATGTGCTGACCTTTATTTCTTTCTTGAATCAATTTCCCATCAGGGCACAAGGGGGAGCTCGGAGATCAGAACACGAGAAACAGCAGCTTTCCTGAAATTATTAGGTTTTTTTGTTTGTTTGTTTTGGTTTTTTTTTAGCAGTGAGGTTGAATAAATATTTCCTACTGACAGAAAAAAAAAAAAAGTCAACATAGCCCAGTTTCTCAGGCTATTTTTTAAGAGGACTTCTTCTCTTCTCTTCCTCTCTCTCTTTCTCTCTCTCTCTCTCTCTCTCTTTCTCTCTTTCTTTCTTTCTCTCTTTCTCTCTTCTTTCTTTTCTTTTCTTTCTTTCCTTCCTTCCTTCCTTCCTTCCTTCCTTCCTTCCTTCCTTCCTTCCTTCCTTCCTTCTCTCTCTCTGTCTTTCTCATTCATTCATTCATTCATCCATTCATTCATTCATTCTTTCAGCTTTAAGATTTCCAGAGTGGAGGGAGGGAGATGCTAACCAGACACTTGCCTTGAGAAGCTTCATAAGCTGACCAAAAAGTCTCAGAAGGAGACTTTGGTAGTGCAGAAGGAATGCCACCCTCAGGAAATCTCATTTCTTGGCCAAAAATCTTGGCAAGCCAGGCAAAAGTTTACTTTAGCAGTAGCAATGTTGGTTGGGGTTTTATATCTTGGTGTCCTGGGAAAATGTCATAAGATCCCCAGACCTGGGAAAGTGAGAAAGTCTTAATAGAAAGTGAAATGGGCAGGAGAAAGGGGGAAATATGTGTTCTTTGTGTATCACCTGAGAAATTAGAGGGAACAGCAAATTATCTGGGCTGCCTTCTCATCTGCAGCTGGAAACACCAAGCTGTCTATTTGGTCTGGCAAATGTAGTTGGCTTCTAGTTCCATAAAGTGTCTGGAGGGTATGAAACATTTTAGATAAAAACGGTACAGTGTTTGTGGCAGATGTAATCTGACAGCTGGAGTGAAGTTACGAGATTTTCTAGTGTAGTTTGCACCTTGAGCAGAGAATAAACTGCTAGCACAATAGGCTGCTGATATTCCTAAATATTAATAGATGCCCCTAAATAGATGGCCCTCTAGCCTTTGCCTAAAAGGCTTCCCAAACCTCTAATCATTATCTCAGGGAGATAGAGGAACTGAAGGCTCTCCTTTTATTGGGAAGAATTTAGACCTAAGCATTGTGTCCAAAGGGTTCTTTTAAAAACATGAGACATTTCTGTTAGTGAAAATGGTATAAAAAGGCCTTATTAAAAAGCAGATAAAGAGAAGCATTTTTACTCTGATAATAGAGGTGCCACAGCATCCACAAGATCCTTGAGTCAAACACATTGACTTTACAGAGCAGGAAACACTGATGCGCCAGGTTGTATAGCTGCAGTGTGGCATAGTCACGATGGAATAATTTTCTAACTGTGTGGTTTTTTCATGCCATAATGCTCTCATCTTGCCATTTTTTCATCCAATTCCTCATGGGCAGAGATTTGCAAAGAAGCACACTAAGTTAGAGGCAAATATCACACTTACCCCAGAGGATAACTCAACTGACTTACAAGTTATTGGTGCCTTCTTTTAAATGAGTCATCTTTCCTCAAACAGGGTCTTTATTGATGCCACCAGTTAGAGGAAAATCATTTTTTTCTCTCTGTCAACTTCTGACTATATTTAACTGCTTGAGTAGTTTATAAATCAGCCTAAAATTGTTTTGCCAAAACCTCCTTCAAAATCCAAATTCATCTCCATTATCAGTATAGCCTCTGGGAATATTGAATCTCACAAAAGGAACGCTTCACAGTTCTGTCCTGTTATATTCAAGGGTCAAACACTCCAGGGGTTTATTTCACAGATTCCAATTTAGAGTCTCTCTATCAAATTCATCAGATCTATTGGATGCTAATGTAGTATTTTCTTTGGTCTTTGGGGAAGGACTGTTAAAACCAAAATATGTATCCATTTTCAGTTCTTAAGAGACATGGAAGGATGATTGGTAAAATGACTTCCCTTGTTTTCTTTTTCCCTAGAACAATTTATAGACAGATAATAGATATGTAAGTCTGTGCAAGTTAAATTAAAAAGGCAATTTAACTCAAAAGACCAAAACCAAATACGTTCTTAGAATATTAAAAAGTAAAAAGGCATATAGATGCATTATGAGCATAAGTGAAAACAGCTAAAATCCATTTTGATCAAGAAATGAAAAAACTAAAACAGAATTGCTAAAATTATATACTTCAGACACTAATAAGTACTCTTAAGACATGATATAAAAATCACAAACCATTCTTAAAATTTTCAGATCAATTTTGAGATAAGGATGATAATTATTTTATTTCATTAAACAAGATAATCTGAAGAGAAAACTAAGGAATGTCAGTTAATTTAGTTTGTCTCGGTTTTGATCTGATGCTGGCTTTTGGTAGTTAACTCAGGATAGAGTCTTTAGAAAGGGAGGTTTTGCAGGAGAATGATAGAATTTTGTAAACCTGGATCTAAGAACTATGCATAAAAAATCTTATGTTCATATTCAATCTGTTGTGATATTCTTGTAGAAGACACTGGGTTCTTGTCACACATCCAGGAAAGAGTAGGGTTGCAGACACTTTGAAGGGTGAGGGGTTATGGAATTTATTGGGCGAAAAGGAAAAAGACTCAGCCAAGTGAGAGGGGTTCCTGTTAGCAAGCCCCCATCTCACAGACTGAATCCTAGGTTGCCACCCAGGAATAAGAGGGGCCAGACTCCTCCCCCTGCAAAGGGTGCAAACTTCCCAAGGCCCCACCCCATTCTTCCAGTGCCAGTCTGATTGGAGGTTTTCTGTGGAGCCCTTTTTACTTGGCTGTCTCAGTCTGAATGTTTGTGTCTCCCCAAATGCATATGCTGAAATACCATTAATACTGAAGTGATAGTAGTAAGAGATGGTGTGTTGGGAGGTTATCAGCTCATGGTGGCTCTCCCCACATAAATGAGATTAGTGTCCTTATAAAAGAGACTCCAGGCCTGGCGCAGTGGCTTACGCCTGTAATCCCAGCAATCTGGGAGGCCGAGACAGGCGGATCAAATGAGGTCAGGAGTTTGAGACCAGCCTGACCAACATGGAGAAACCCTGTCTCTACTAAAAATACAAAATTAGCTGGGCATTGTGGCGGGCGCCTGTAATCCCAGCTACTCAGGAGGCTGAGGCAGGAGAATCACTTGAACCCAGGAGGTGGAGGTTGTGGTGAGCTGAGATCGCGCCATAGCACCCCAGCTTGGGCAACAAGATGGAAACTCTGTCTCAAAACAAAACAAACAAACAAACAACAAAAAAAGACTCCAGAGAGCTAGCTAGCCCCTTCCACCACATGAGGATGCAGCAAAAAAGTGCTATCTATGAAGCAGAGAGCAAGCCCTCACCAGACACTGAATCTGCTGACATTGTGATCTTGGACATCTCAGCCTGTAACTATAAGAAGTATATATAAACTACCCAATTTAATATGTTTTATCATAGTAGCCTGAATGGACTAAGACACATTCACAAACAATTTGTAATCTCTAGCCTCAGGGCAAAAAAATTTTGGAGCAAGATGCAGTGGTGTTTTTTGGGCCCCATACAAGAGGGGACAAGCCATCCTCAGCAGAGAAAGTCTGATTCTCCTGAGATGCCAAAGGTGAGAGGAATTACCAGCAGCAGGTTAGCAGACAGCACTAATGCCAGTCTGAATACCCCAACGTGGGGAGCTCACTCAAAAGCCCCATGCGAAAGCAGCTTAGCAACAATAGTTTATCCTGGAGGATAACTCAACTGACAAATTTTCTAGGTACACAAAACTGTGGCCTTTCCCTTCAGTCTCCTCAGACAAAATCCAGAGGGATCAGAAACATATTGACAATATGGATAAATGTATTTTAACCTTTGTATTTTCTATTTTGGCAAAACGTATTTATACTGAATTATAAACTGTGCAAAAAGTTAATAATAGGATCAGTATTAAGTCATAATAGTTCATAAGAAAAGATTCTTCTCCATGAATTCATAATACAAACCAATTAGATCCTACTTTAGGAAAGATTTATTTAAAAGAAGACACTAATAGCTCATCTCTCAGTCCAGTTATCTCTCAGAGAATGTATCCCCTTTTAGAATTCAAGACCTAACTTCCTAAAAAAGGTTAATGTGAATTCTTACATATTGCCAGGGCCATCCAGATTCATAAGGCAATCCCAGAAGTAAAATAAGGAAACTGGGAAGTCTCTTATTCATTTACCAAGAAAGCCAAATCAAGGTCCACCTGGTTGTGCTTTGAATAGGTCTTTGCTCTACCTAGATTTCACAGCACATCCAGTAATCCTGTAGAATCCTAGCCTGACATGCCCCAGCTATCCATGACAGTGTACTGTCTCTTTAGGCATTTATTCACTGGTTCCTATGGTGATTGCATAAACCAAAAATTATAAAAGAAGCATGATTTGTGATACCTCTGCATTCCAGCTTTAAAAAGCTGGGGGAGGTGGCTGGAGATGATGATAGGACAAGTAATCAAAGGGAAAAGTATTTCAAGTACTTGGCAATAAAACATTTATCTATTTTACTGTTTGTTTTTCTGTTTTCTTGGTAGGAGAAAGTATTTTTTGTTTTTCTCTTGTACTTTTTTTCTATTTTCATACTAAAAATAAGTGCTGTTCAAATTATTATTGGTTCATACATCCCTGTTTCACACGGAAGGACTGATTTAAATTATGACATTTAGGTTTATAACAATTAAATTTGGATGTTCCACAATTTAAGTGATTCATCAGGTTAAAGGAATCAAATAATTGACTCTAAGGTAAACTATTTTGAGTTAAGCTAAGAGTATCTTTTAACAAATGAAGTCTGCCAAGGAAAGGCACTATAGTGTTTTGACACCTAACAGCAGCTTTATAAATTAAATCAGTGTCGTGATTTTTTTTTGTTGTTGCAGTTTCTGTGGTTCTAGCAGTTCTTTAGAAAGTGATATGCATTGCTAATAGTCTTTTATATTTTTGCATTGCTTTAAACTTTCCAAAATTGTTCACTCATTTTATCCATTATAACTACCCCGTGAAGGCAGTATAGCAGACGTTTGATTTTGACAAATTACAAAAATGTGGCAGGGGAAAGAAGGAGTTAAGTCATTTGTAGGAAAACATAATCATTCGAGTGTCCAGTTAGAATTGTAACCCAGATCTTTTCTTTAGAAGTTTTTGCAACTTTGATTAGTTTTCTCCTTTTTTTTTCATTTATTGAGTTCATTTTTCTCAGATTTTAACAGACTTTCTCTTCTATTTTCCCAAGATAAACTGTTTTTTATTTCCTTACTCAAAACTCCACTGTGCTAGAAAACAAAATGTAGGATAATTTGGGGAGGAAGATTTGAACAGGAGAGCACTTTTGCTATTTTCACTAAATGATCAGGAAATTGTATTCTTGGATATTTTTTCTCATTGTTTACCTAATTTTTAAGAAAGAAAAATTTTGAGTTGCTTTTTACTAATCTAGAAGGTGGAAAGTATGGATATTTTATGTGGCATGGTTTTCATCTATTGTACTTACTTTAAAAAAAAACCACCTATCTTTGTTTCAGTCTGAATATATTCATTACTCTTTAAAAAAAAAAACAGAGAAATTAAGGCAGATAAGAATTAAACCATTTTCCCCAGAGTCACTATTTGTCATTGTTCTTAGCCCTGACATATGGCATAGGGCCTCAGTTACAGCATGCTATAAACAACATTGCTTTTATTCACATCCCACCACCTCTGCTTAGTCTACAGACACTTTGGAAAGATAGGCATGTAAAAATGCAGTCAATTTTTAGACATGTAGATTTTTTTTTTAGTGTTCATATCTTAGGGTGTCTTAGAATATATTTAGTTAACTAACAGTATGAAATTTTACTTTGCTGTTAGACTGAATATTATAGTTTTGAACCATGTATCACTGGAAAGGTATTTGAAGTTAAAACTTCAAAAGAGTGTTTTTTAAATTTCCCTTACTATTTTGTGGCTATCCTTTTGCTGTTAAGGGTTTCAGGACACCTGTCCTCAGGACCAGCTGAGGTCTAAAGGAGGTTTTCAGGGCAAAGCCTATATTTATGTGGCTTAAGGAAGCCGAAAGTGGTAGACAAATTTAAATTCCTCTAGTTTTAATGAATTCATGAACAAAACAGCAGTTCTTACTAAAATCTGTCCAAATAGCTTCCGGCATCAATCAGTAAGGATTCTGTACACCATAGCAGCCATTAATTTTTCAGCCATGCTATGTTTACCTGTCCCAGAATGAAAGAGGCAAGCTGAGGTAATGGGCACACCCGCTAGAAAGAAGAGTTTCAAAAAGTCTCCAGAGCCTCCCTAGTGGTTAGTTCTTCGTGATCCTATCCCTGTGTCTAAGCCCCATCCACATCCATCATCTTCAGAGTAGTGAAGGTAACCACCTTTTCAGGTTGTCATTAGGCCAAGGAAACCCAAGATTGCAACGCTATTTGCATCACTTCATTGCATGTTGACCTGATGGTTGGTTTGTTTTTCACTTCAGACAATTTTGTGATGATGTCTTTCTCCTACCTCTAAAAGACCAGGGTCCTGTGCAGCATTCTATTCCCTAAAGTACCTCGCCTAAGTACATTACCTTAAACAGAAGTTACAACTTCTGTAACATATGAGGCCTTTCATTACCTAGTTTCTCTCCATATGCCCAGCACTCACTCATTGCGTTGCTCTTGAAACTCCAGCAATAATGACCCACATGTAATTTCCTGCCAATTAATCATACCTGTTCATTCCTTTGCAGGAATTTCTTTGCTTTCTTCTTTTCTATTCTGGCTAACTCCTACCAAATATTCTAGACTCAGCTTAGGTATCATTTCTACCAAGAAGCATTTCCAGAGCCTTTTTTTTTTTTTTTTTTTTTGGTCATTGTGTCTCTCTCTTAAATTAAAAACAAAAACCTTTATAGAAATATAATTCTCCTACCATACAATTCAGCCATTTAAAGCATATAATTCAGTGGTGTTTAGAGTATTCAGGGATGTGGGCAACCACCACCGCAGTCAGTTTTAGAAGATTTTCAACACCTCAGACAGAAACCTCATATCCTTTAGCTCTCAGTCCCCTATGCCCTAGTCCACTTCCCAGCCCTGAGCAACTACTGATTTACTTTCAGTCTCTATAGATTTCTCTATTCTGGACTTTGAATAGCATATGAATAGCATCATATAATCTGTGAAATTTTGTGACTGGTTTCTTTCACTTAGCATAATATTTTCGAGGTTCTTCCAAGTTGTGGTATGCCTTACTGCATTTCTTTTATGGCTGAATAATATTCCTTTATACAGATATACTGCATTTTGTTTATGCATTCATCTGTTGATAAACATTTGGGTTGTTTCCACCTTTTGGTTATTATATAAAATGCTGCTATAAACATTGATGTACCAGTTTTTGTGTGGAGATATGTTTTCATTTCTCTTGGGTTTATACCTAGGACTGAACTTGATGGAATAAATAGTAACTCTATACTTAATTGGTTGAGGAACTGCTAAACTTTTCAAAGCAGGTGCACAATTTTACATTCCTATCAGCTGTGCATGCATGAGGACACCAATATCTCCACATCCTGACAACACTTGTTATTATCTTTTTGATTCCAGCCATCCTACTAGGTACAAACTGTTATCTCATAGTGGTTTGTGTCTTTTAGACTTTTTTCCACTTGTGTTTCTTCAGCATCCACACAGTGCTCCCCAGCATGTGATAGGTATTCTGGTGTTGATTAGAGTGGATTGAATGGGTTAAAAAGCTGCCACTTATGTGTTTTTGGTTTTGTTTATGATTTTAGCAAGTGCCCAGCAGGTACCTGTGATGGGTGTACGTTCTATTTCCTGTGGGAGAGTGCTGAAGCTTGCCCTCTGTGTACGGAGCATGACTTCCATGAGATTGAGGGAGCCTGCAAGAGAGGATTTCAGGTAAGGGATAAACTCTCAAGGCAGAGCTTCGGCATTATAGTTGGTTAATCTGGCATCAAATCATAGAAACTCAGGTCCAGAAGTATGGCAAAAGCTTGTATTTAACTTAATGTTACATTGGTAGGCATTTAAAATCAAGTTTGGCAGCTGAACTCTCAGATGCTAGGGTAGCTGCAGATGTGCACTGGGATTGAGGAGAATGAATCATGATAAGGGAGTCACAGGCTTTTAGTATTTACCTGGATTATATGGGAATAACATCATTAAACCAAGATGTGATTTACATAATGTAGGTATAGGTGTAATTAAGATGGGGATAATATAACTGACTCACTATAAGAAGCATGCCTAAAAAGTAAAGCATATACATATAAAATCAAGATCCTACTCTATAGCTTCTGTGCATTCATACTTAAGTATTTTTTGTTTCCATTTTATATTTAATACATTATGAAAACTTTCCCTTCTCATTAAATATATTTTTAAAAACATATTTATTGATAGATATTTTATTTTTTATATAATTTGGTATTAAATAATTCCTTTGTTAGACATTTGAGAGAAAATTGAATACAATCTTTTTGTACATAACTCTGTAGCAAACGTCTGAAGGAAGTTTGATTTTGTTAGTTTATTATTAGAAAGAGATTAATTGAATCCAAAAATAATGGATATTTTTAAGGCTTGATACATATTACCAAATTACTTTGATCATATCAATTTTCACTTTCACTTCATTTTCACTTTCACCAATAGTGTTTGAGAGAGCCTGCTTCACTGAACTAGCTTTGAGTAGTATCATATGAAAAAAACAAACTTAATCTGCTTCAAGACCACTTGTTTACTATCACTCCATGCCCAAATTCCATTAAAATCATAATAAAGAAGCACAGAGGAAAATAAATCAACACTAATCCTGGAAACCTGAAGGGAGAGTGGGCACCAGAGAATCAGAGAGGGGAAGCAGTTCTGCCCAGGAAGGTCTTGAAGAGCTTGCAGTTAGCAGGATGAAGGGCAGGAGCTTGAGAGGAATGAAATCAGGATGCTTGCGCCCAATCCCATGCATTCCAAGTATTTGGCAGCAGTTGTGTTCACCTCACCCCTAGGAAAAAACCGTAGAGAACTATTCTCTAAGTTGGTGTTTTTCAAACTTTAACGGCAGTGAAACTATATTAAGAATTATATTGTACATCAAACCCAGCACACACACACACAAATTAGACACACAGAAATATGCCTAAAAGTGAGATAAAGTTTTAAGGAGCAAGATTTATTTTATATTTTATGATAAAGTACAAGCATAGAGTTAATGTAAAGTATATTTTTATTAATAATTTAAAGCATTATACAAAAAATAAGCAGACAACACAAAAACAAAAATTAGGAAATGTGTTATTTAATTTGTCAAATGTGTATCCTCGTAGATGGCTTATTTCAGTTCAGAGCACACAGGGTCAGTGCCGCTCACTCAGCTAGCACACTGCTGAGACAGTTTCTTTTTAATATTTTTAAGTAGGTCAAGGATAAAAATTCCAGATTCACAAAAATAGTTTCTTGTTAATCCTCTTAATAATGATAATGCTTTTTCTACTTCACAATAGAAATTCTTCTTTACCTTTACTCTACAATTTTGATAAACTGCTTATCTTATAATTGTTTTTTAGAGTAAATGAAAAACGAAGCTGCACTCCCTTTGGCTACCAAGTTTAATTCAAGGGTTTTTGAATAGCTGAATGATCTTTTATCCAAACATTCTTTAATATTTCTCTCCTGGAAGGTAATGAATGATGAGAAGGTTAAGACAGTAAATTTGCAACAAATTCTCTAATTTTATTTCATTCAAACTCTCTTCCTTGGTAAGGTCACTTCAACGTATTATAAGATTGTTGAGAATAGATAGTTGCTGTGTGATTCTTTAGTATTTGTTTTTGCCTTTAAAATGATACTTTTTGGATCACTTTGATGTGCTTGACATGTTGAAATTTATAACATACCCCTATAGTTACAAATTTAATTTGAGAAATACTGGAAGTAGTTAAATATATCCTTCTGTTATGCTTAGATACCAGTTTTGGAAATATTTGTCCAAGGAGCTTGAGCTTCAGTTACAAAACTATGAATGTCATTCCTGAGTTCATAGACCTTACTTAATGTATTCCATTGCAACTATAAAAAATTGGTATGATACAGTAAGTGGGAATAGCCACCTCGATCACTGAATAAAATATTTTAAAAAGTCAACTCCTCCGTGAGCTTCATATACAAATGACAAATATTGCTGCATTTTTTATTGTCAGTGAATATATGTGGATTTCTTTGGATACCAAAGCTTCGTGATAGAAGAAAAATAGTTATTGCAAAATATTGCAATGGGTATATTTACATTTTTTAACCATCCCGTTGTGTTTCAGTCCTATTTCCGACACCATCTTTACAATTTTTTACTTTATGTTGATTGAGCGTGCACTTTTCTAATTCTTTAAATATATCTAATACAGGCGCGTATGTTAAATTTATACAAGTCCTCCACATACAGCTGATATAAACAAAAAGAGCCGCACAACTTGTGATAGAAGTGCTCTTATCAAATTGGATCTCCAAAATCTATACTGGGTTCTAAGTGTGTATTAAGCATTACTTCTATATGTCATGCAGCACTAAAGATTTGAAGAGATACTGTGTTATCACTAAGGGGACTGTCTTAAAATTTATCTTTAAATTTATCTTACCCTGCTCACAAGATATTTCTACACACTAGAAGAATAAATTTTTCAGCTGCAGTGTCAGCCATTTTTTGTTTTCCAATGATGTGTGGTTGAATGAATAAGACTTTCTAATTAATAGTTATAGAATTACTAAGAAAAGTTGCCAATAGCTTGATTTTTTTCCATGTCGGTATTTGAGACACTTATTGAAAAGTTAAGCATTCTTGGTTTGCAAGTATTTTTTTTTAATTTTGAAGTTTTAAGATTTTGTTATAAGACTGTCATCAGACAGTAGAGCTTGCTGTTCTCATTGGGCATTGCACATTTGATAAAACCATATCAAAGATGGTACAGTCTTTTTTTCTTGTTAGAATGCACTTGAAATAAAGTCAACATTTGCTGACGAATTTGTTTCTCTCTGTATTGTCATTATTGACACTTAGAGATGCAGCAGATGAATTTGAACATGCCTCAGCATTTCCCACATTACCATTTTTATAAAAAATAATGTGACCCACTTAAAAAGAAATTGATTTGCACTAAGTTTAGGAAACACGTTTCAGTTATAATGTACTAACAAAAAAATCCAGTCACTAATATCCTTTCTAAAAAACATGCTGAAATTTCCTATCCAAAACTTGATTCAAACTTTTCCCCAAAGTGAGTAAGAGTCTCATGTCCCTTTCACTTCATGACTAACTGCAAAATTGTTTGTGTATTTAAATCATAAAAATTAACATTATGGTGTTATTCCTCTGTTAGAGTGTTGATAAAATGACCATCATATACCAGAAAGTTTAATGAGACACGTTAAAAGATTAGTGCCTATATTATTAATGTTGGTGGATAGAATCACCATGCAAATTGCTACTGGTCACCGTACATGTTGAAATATATAACGAACCATATGCTGTACTTGGATTTTCTGTTTTGATCTGCCTATTTGATCTGTCTATTTTAAAAAATTCCTGGTTGAGACCCAGTATATTAATATTTTATTATTCACAATTAGTTGTAACTTGCAGTTTGAAAAACATTGCCCTAAAGGAATTGCCATCTATTTCGGGAGGATGAAAGTAACTGGTGTGGGTAGTGATGACCCAGAATAATGCCCTCCTTATTTTGGCATGGGGAAGAAGGGTGTAGACTGTGTGCCCACTTACACCAGTTACCCAGCCGTGGTGCACCTGTATGTCCCAGGTCTAGGGTCTGTTCTTCCATTCGGAGGACAGGCTTATTGGGAAAATGGGCTTACATGATGGGTGAATGCAACCCATTTCTTAGATTAAGCAACCTAAGCTTTCATTCAAAAACATGAGTAAGATGTTTAAAGGCATCAAAATTAAAAAAAAAAATAGCCCAGAAGGTATGTCCAGATGGAGCCATTTTTATTCAACCTCCTTGGCATGTACTGTACTGCATCCTTCTCAGGTGGCAATCCATCAATCCATGTCTTTATTTGGTTTTTACATTTTTCATTCATTAATTCCTTATTCATTCACATATATTTTTTTCCTGTGTTTCTGGAGCTTTTATTAAATGAATGCTGAATAATCCTCTATGCCTACTGTAAGTAAAGGGTTAGCAAAACCCTTTCTTCTTTTATGTAAGAAATTGACCAGTGACAAATCTAGCTTTCACAGTTGAGTCTGAATTTCATTTCTCATGTCTTCTATGGTTTTATGTTTTTTTTTTTAAAGGAAACCTTGTATGTGTGGAATGAACCTAAATGGTGCATTAAAGGAATTTCTTTGCCTGAGAAAAAGTTGGCAACCTGTGAAACGGTTGACTTTTGGCTGAAGGTGGGAGCCGGTGTGGGAGCTTTTACTGCCGTTTTGCTGGTGGCTCTGACCTGCTACTTCTGGAAAAAGAATCAAAAGTAAGTACCCTCTGAGATGATCACAAGAGAGCTAGAGGGCCTATTTTGTTGTGAAAATTCTAGACTTGATCATTATATCCAATAAATAGATTCTCTCAGAGACACAAGAATTTTCTCCTTGCGAAGAAATCATAGGAAAGGCCTTGAGAAAGCAAGCAGAGGAAACGATTGTTATTCTGACAGTAGAAAGATCATAGAACATTAGAGATCATTGAGTTAGAGTCATTTATTAGAAAACAAGGAAAACAAGAGGCTCCATGTTATTCAGGTAGATGATAGCAGAGCTGAGATTTGGAAGGCAGGTATTCTCTCAGTGTCTGCCTTTTTTAAAAATGATATAATGCTGTCTTCTTCCTTCACCTTTTCTTTTAAAATTTCTTGTGGGAAGACATTTGCAAAAAAAACCAGACCTAGTGTATAGGCAAATATCACATTTATTTACTCCAGGTCTTCAAGTATCTGGAATTGAATATTGAGCCTAATTCCTGAATGTATTTTGATCTCTTATAGGACTTGAATCTTTTAGAATGATTTACACCTCAGTGGGACTGTGGAACTCCTATATTGTAATATCTAGGGACAATTGCAATATCTGGGGTGATAGTATAAAGGAATAAATAATATAGAGAGATGATAAAGACCAAATTACTTGCCTGTTTGATATTCTCATCTTTACGAACTAAATACTGGGAAAACCTTAGTGAATTGGCTTCCAAATATTCATGTTAAGAAAATGCATTCAGGCCTAAAAGTCCCTGCCCCCCAATTTTTTCATTATTGGACAATTCAATGTAAAGTGGTAGAATTAACTCTATTGAACTGATTTCTGACATCCTGGGAAATATTTCTTTGTAAATGGTAGATACATGATAACACACATATTGCTATGGCTATAGGCTAGGGAAATTTGTTGGTGGAGCAATTATACTCCAAGTCAATTTAATGAGCTGGTATATTACCACCTAAAATAAGTATTTATTTATATTAACATAAATGGATACTTATTTGTTTATTTATTTTATCACTATTTAGACTGGAATACAAATATTCCAAGTTAGTAATGACGACTAACTCAAAAGAGTGTGAACTCCCGGCTGCAGACAGTTGTGCTATCATGGAAGGAGAAGATAATGAAGAGGAAGTTGTATATTCCAATAAACAGTCACTACTAGGAAAACTCAAATCTTTGGCAACCAAGGTGAGAGTAGAATTTTAACCTGGTGTTACTGGGTGTTTATAAAGTAGAGGGCATATTAACCTAATAATAGCATTCACGCAAGCTGTTATTTTGCATGTTTATATCTCAGTGGGTATTTATCCAACAGAAATACTCTTAGAAGCACATGATATAGATACAATAATATTCACTGCAGCATTGTTTTCGTTGGTTGTCAAACATCATCAGTAAGGAGTTAGATATTTTCATCTGTCAAAGTGATAGAATACTATGCAACTCTGCAGCTGTTAAAGATTGAGATAGCTATGTGTACTGATAAATCAATAGGTCCAAGATAGAGTGAAAACAAATGGACTATTGTATTTATATTAAATATACATTTATGTTTGTATTTGCATAGCAAACTGTTAACAGTGGCTGCCTTTTGGGAATAGTGAACTAATGAGAGTGTTTAGTCTTTGAAAGCAATACATTTTTGTGATATTGGAATTTTCACAAAGATACTATTTTATAATATAAAAGTGGGGGCTAATAAAAGATATTACATTCATTCATACTGTTCCTTTTTTATGACAAGATTGTTTTACATAGAGCAAACAAAAGTTATATAAATTATTGAGGTATGTGAGGTAAAATATTGCTGGCTTTGGATTTTGGAACAACTACCATATCCAAACATAACATGAAACCATACATTGTTTGAAAAGACATTTTATTTGATATTTTTCACCATTGACTTAAAAGATGAGAAATTATCAGCTTACTTAAGATTAAAAAAGAATGAAATAGAAGAAAGAAGATGACTTTCAAATGATTTATAACAGGATAGACAAGAGACAAAATTTACATTTATAAAGAGTAATAGTAACCATTTCCTTGTACTCTCCTAATTTAGGCACATAAATATAGGGAATTATTTAAGAGTAAAAATGAATAAACCGTCTTTCCCTTCTACTAATGGTTAATTTTTCCTTTTATTAATATGAAGATGTAAGGAGGGTACTATTGCCATAAAATAACAAAAAAATAGTGATTATTAAGATCGGAGATCTTTACCCTACTTGCAAGCTAACAAGTGAGTCTGCTACAGTTTCATGGACAGTTTAGAAGACATGAGAGTCATGTCAGAGATGAAGGACAGTTTCGTATTCATAGAGTAGTGCTAGCAGAGTAATAACCTTTATACCAGCTCCCAAAGCCACAGGTAGCCCACAAGGCTGTGTTCCCACAGCGCTATTTGCAGAGGAAATGATATCACTTGGTTGCATTACAGGAAAGGGATGCTAGGCCTTAGGAACCTGAATGTTCATAATGAACAGTAAACATGCCCATCCTTTGCCTCAAAGGGGGCTATTATCTTTATTGTTTTGGACAGGTAGCATACCTGTCCATTGCTTCTGGGAGACACTATTTCCAAGACTGTAAGCAAGCCTACCCTTTGCTCAGGAAGGAGACAATATATCTTTATATTCCAAGGAAATTTTCTATACAAAGATTCTTGAAAAGATAGTCTAGAACAAAGGGTAATCAGTTTCTCACTTTTAAGATGTACAGAAATGAAAGAGAACCATGGAGAATTGTCTCCAACAACATCCAAACCTCATTTTTATACCATGTTGGTTTCTGATGAATTTTCCCTTTATTTCCCCACTCCATGCACCATTCTGATTAATATGACTGACTGAAGCTGGGATCAAATTTGATCAATTTGCTTTATACAGCATTTAAATAAAGCTACTACCAATAGGACACCAAGCAGAAGTCATCTCACCAAGATGAGGCCAATCTGTATTGTTAACCTCAACCCTACCCTCAGGGTCCCAGACTCAACTAGCTGAACAAATGCTATGAACCATCAGGGTTTACCTTAGAAAGCTAGATAGCTTTCTTGTGTTGACCTTTCCACTGGCACTCAGATATTTCCTCCATAAGATTTGGACAAAAAGGGGACAAGGAAATTTTCAAAATCTTAACAGAAACCCAATATACAGAAGTCCTCCCTTATTTGCAGTTTCACTTTTCATGGTCTTACTTTTTGTGGTTTTAGTTACCCACCGTCAACTGTGGTCTGCAAACATTACATGGAAAATTCCAGAAGTAAACAACAAGTTTTAAATTGTGTGCTCCTCTGAATAGTGTGACGAAATCTCCTACTGTACTGCCTTGTCCCCCCCGGAAGTAAATCATCCCTTTATCTAGCATATCTTTGCCATATACACTACCTGCTTGTTAGTTACTTAGTAGTCATTTTGATTATCAGATTGAAAAAAAAAACAAAACCAGTATTATAGGGTTTGATACTATACTTGGTTTCAGGCATCCACTGGAGCTGGGGGGGAGTTGGAATGTATCCCCTGGGAATAGGGTGGGGGGTACTGTATCTCTGATTTTTGTCACACACTTGGTGAGCAGTAAACTCAATCAAGTGGTTACTATCCTTTTGATCTAGGGTCATGGCAATCCAACAAGACAATCCAGATACATTAATCCAGGTACTACAGGATATATTAGTGATTGCACAGACTTTGTCTTGGTTCTCAAAGAGAAAGTATAGGGTAATTATATTGTGAATAACAATGTATGGACAGTGAGTTGATGTTGACCTGAATGCCTTTGATGGCTGAGGTGGTGTAATTGATTACTTCAAGCTAAGGTCAAAGGCAAATTTTATACCACCTTTTCTAACATCCATAACAGTAGGGGTATTTTCCTAAACAGTTGAAGATCTCTTATGACTACTCCTAAGGTGTAAGTTATCATGTTTTTAGTGAGGAAGCAAGTTAGTGTCTGACTTCTACACAAGAAGTGCAGTCCTGGAGGTACACATGGTGCCTCTGCAAAGAAAGTGTTATTCACAGTTGTGGGGTACATGAAGTGGGACCTACATTGTGCAGGCAGCACAGGTTGACTGTTCCTGTAAGTGGCTTCTTTGCTGGCTAGTAAGCCTTAGGGTTTCCAATTCACCTCATATAATGATGTCTCCTTTTTGTCTTCAGGGAGACTGCTTGAGGGAAGTCAGCTCAACTCTCCCTGTTTGTCCACACTGCAAACTAGTGACTTTTGTTCACCTCATGAAATGACTAAATAATGGCTATGGAAATGAGATGTTGGTGTTACTCTGGGGCAGGGGCTGAGGCCATTTCCTGCTCTTTTGGATAAATTTCTCAGTTAGTTTAAGGGGAATGGCAAATGAATTGTGATGAGAGCATGTGGTGGGTATGGCAGACCCAGCAGTTAGTTAAATTAAAGGCCTTTGCCATGATTTGAGAGAGCCACATCAGAGCATTTTTCTTCATAGGAAGGTGACAGGGTGACCCTAAAAAATCATATGATTCTTAATGTCCCTTATTTCCCCATACTTCTCAGGGTCTAAGCTGTCTCCTCCATTATCAGACTGTGTTGTTGTCTCTTTCCAGTGCTAAAAAACCAGCTTGTCTCATTTCAGTAACTATAATTTCACCTTATTTCTACCCATATCTATCCAGAACATTCATGTGCAAGAGGGATAAAGGCATTTTATAGAAACATATAGAGACTCAGTGTGTACCCCCGCTTTGTCCATGTGGGCCATGATAGGGGGACTTGGGGGGCAGTGCACTCATCAGGTGGTCATTATCTCTCTTATCTATAATCATGACAGCCAACAAAGCAACAATACAGGTGGTTAAACCAGAATTATATTTGAATTTCCTAGATCCCCTTCTGGGTGGGCTATCACTAGAAGTTGTACCCAGGAAGCCTGAGGTTACTGTTGGAGTAAATAACACATCATGCCCTAGATTGGTGAGGCAGAATCCAGGATGTTCAGATAAGTGTAAATAACCTTATGTAGTGGTGTATATGTGTGTCTGTCTGTGTGTATGTATGTGTATGTGTGTTCTTCCTGATCATTATCTGTGAAGTGGCCAAAAGGAGATGATCCCTTTCCATGGGCAGCCATATTTGATGACCAAACTGCTGTATTAAGATGTGTGGATCAGGAGGAGGTGAGGGAGATAGAGTCAGAAATCTTTTTGAGTCACTTTCTGAGAAGGTCTTACAATGCTCAATAGTACCATATGCTTTTGGACAGTAGGAAATGTAGAAGGTCCGCTGAATACCTCTACTCTCAACTAATTTATGGGTAGCTTTTGTGATAAAAAGTGTCCTATTGTCAGACAGCAAATGGTCTTTAAAGCTACCAACTTTATACTGATTTGTTTCAAGGTTCACAATGTATGGGTAGAGTTAGCTGATCAGACTGGAATAGCAACACCATACCCTGAACAGTTGTAAATAGTGGTGAGGCATCACCAGTAGCCCAAAGAGGTGGTCAAAGGTATTTTGTAATCAATTTGCCCAGGAAGAACTGGTCAACTTTTGGCATGAGTCCCAAGTCTGGCATCTGCAGTAACCTCTGCATAAGAAAAATATGTGCCCTTGTGCCCAGTCTATGATGGCAGATGCTTTGCCATGTTGGGGGAGATGATGGACCCATGCACCATTTGTGACAGTCTGTCTTGTCTAGTCTCTATCAGGAGCTTGATTCAATTTCATCTTTCATAAGAAGGATCCTTACCTGGGCATCTACATGAGTGACACATATTTTAATCCAAAACTAAGATCTATTTTAGTGGTATCCAAAAAGGGTAACCTTGAAATGCCAGTCTTTAATTTTCCAAGTGGCAGACAAAACAGCCAGCCATTGGCAATAGCTTGAGTCAGTAAGTCAGAAAAATATAATGAAGTTTATCAAGGGAGGTAATGTGTAGGTCTTGATAATGCCTTTGAGTTCTGTCCACTGAGCTGAGCAATCTTGTTGGTTTTCAGTTATTCATAGATGATTGAATATCTGTAGCAGCCAGTGGATACCACTGGGCTTCAGCTCAACCAAATCATCAGTGAACCAGGCCCAACATGTAGTAGAACCTCGATAAATCGAGGGTCCTATTGAGTCAGTGGTTTTGTTTTGAGCCGTGGAGTAGGGGATAAAGTTTCCCCCAAAGGGTATGCTGCCACATTTTTATGTGAGGCCTACATGCCACTGGGGCAAGACCAACTGCATTCTTGAATATATGCCATTCGTATTTGACAAGTGAGGCTTATTCAGCCTTTTCTACCTTGTTGAGCGACCATAAATGGGACTATCAAGCTGTAGAGTCACAAGATCTGGGGCATGGGAATGAAATTTAGTTTTGACTAGTTCAGTGACCAACTAATGGCTATAGCTGGTAGCCATATCAAGAGGTAATGAGTCTAAAACCTCAAAGGGTACCTCTGTCTCCTCTTGCCAGAGTCTCCAATTGGCAAAATCATTAGTTATAGAGAATTGTATCACAAAGTTGTCATTATGATTGTGAGGCCATAAAGGTAAAGAGTGTGCCCCAGCTTTCTGGACAGCTTTTAACATAGCCTGTTAGTTTGGGTCCAATTCAAAGGATACTATTTTGTAGGCTAGCTGATATAAAAGAACAAGTAGAATACTCAAATGCGGTCCAACACTGTCCCAATAGCAGAGTCAAGTAAAGTGCTGGGCTGTTTTTCCTTAACTGCTGGGTAGATTTAGCACTGTAAATCTGCTTACATAGTTCCAATGAACTTTACTTAGGTAGCAGGTCCCTGAATGTTTTGGGGGTTTATCAACCACCTCTGTAAGTAGAAGTGTCATAACTCAATCAGGGCTGTTGATATGGAGACTTCTGACTTGACACCAAAAGGACCTAATTTATATAGTGACTGTTTTGGGCATCAGAAGGTAAAGGAACTTGTGTGAAACCCTGACTCACCATTTGTTGCAAATGGCAGTTGGAAACTCCTGGGGTATCCTACTGCCTACTGGCCCTTCTCTACATGTAGCTGTTCTTGGTTAAGGGATCTCCTTTAGCATGTATGAGATGGGGAAGTACAAGCATATAACATCAAGTTCTACTGTATATTCAGATGTAGAAGCAACAACAACACTATCTTGAATGGACACATAGAATCCCTCCAAAGATCACATTATTTTCCCTTTTCTACTCTAAACCTTGCTCAAATCCTCTTATTTGTATGCTCCTCTTTTCCCACAGGAGAGTAGGTATGATGGTGACTTGAGTGCCTGCAACCAACAGAGTGGTAAATGTTTAAGAAACCCTCTCCAGGTTTTCCTAGCAGATTCAGATGGGTGTGTATTGTCCAGTCCCTCTTGGTAACAGGAAAACTTTAGTCCCCTTTCTAATTATCTTTTTTCTTGAAGCAGCTGAAGTTGGGGTAGTTTGGGAGGGAGGCATTAAGACTGAAGAGAGAGAGAATCTTTGACAGTAGACAAGATGTTTGCATTCACTTTTATTTTTGACCAGCATATCAGCTGCTAATGATCCAACCAACTTCCAATGCTTTCAATGTTTTTGGTCTACCCAAAGGCCTATGTTGAACAGCAAGGTTCTGTTTACTGACATCATTTATTTGAGCTTTGGGGACCCCTTAACTTAGAGGCCACTTTCATATTGCTTTTTCTCTGAGGCTGCAGGTTTTATGTCCTTTTGTTGATTTGTACTTGACTTGCATATTGGAGACATGTTTAAAGAATCTATCTTAATCCAGAGTATTTCTTGCTATTGTTAATAATGTTTAATGTAATTCCTGGTTTTAACATAAAAGTAGGGGAAATTTCCAGGTAGACCTGACCATACTAATTTATCTAGAGTCCTTTGGATCAGTTTCTCATTCTCTAGTGAACTTCTTCCGCGTTGTAAACCCAATCTGCGACAATAAGAGTCCAAATATGAGTCAATGCTTCACTAAGTTTTCCTATGGGAATCAGTCTCAGGGAAAGCTCTCTGTATTGTAGTCAGGACCCACTTCAAAATCTCTGGGACCTTTTTACTGTCATCTATGAATATATCTAAAATTTGCATGATAGATTGCAAGAGGTGTTGAGCCCAAAAATGGCCCACCTGCTTGTCATTCTGAATTGCTTACCAAACAGTCATTGAGTCCTGCCAAATTATCTCTAAAGTGAGTCAGTCAAAATTTTCGTAATCTCTCAGGTTTCTTCCCATAAATGATTTCCATTTTTCCCTTTTAGTACTCCTTGTAGATGATGCATGTCTCTGTAATTTTTATCTAAAAGAGGGTGAAACCTCCTTTGCCTACCAGGATGAATTTTAGCTGTACGGTCATACAGGATTGGTTCCAGGGCCCCTGAGTATACCAAAATTCAAGCATACTTAAATCCTGCAGTCAGCTCTGCAGAGCCAGCCTATGTGAAAAGTCAGCTCTCTATTTAGGTGGCTTTCACCTCCCACCAATGCTGTATTTTCAATCCGGGTTCAGTTTTGTAAAATCTGCCTATAAGTAGGCCTGTGCAGTTCAAACTTGTGGTGTTCAAAGGTCAACTGTAGTTCTTACCATGGGGCATACCTAAGGCTGATTGCCTGGTGAATGAGGAAGTCTTTCGGGCTAGAGGATAATTAAAGCATCCAGGGCACTGTTGAGGCAGGTGAACTGTGAATTCTTTAACCCATTTCCCAGTCAGTACTCAACAAGCAGTCACCTCTCCAATTAGAGTATAAAAAAGTTTTCTTCCCTGAGAAGATTCAGGGTAGTGAATTTTGTTTTGAATAGCAATTTTAGTTAGCGTAATGATTTTTTTACTTTAAAAATGAAATTTTGAAATAGTACAGAAAAGTTGAAAGAATCATACAGTGGTATAGTCATATGCCCACCATACAAATTTTATTATATTTGTATTATTACATATCCGTCCCTCCATCCTTTCATCAACCCATATTCTTTTCTGTTGTTCGGTTTCAAAGTAAATTGCAGACTTCAATACACTTCACCCCAAAACACTTCAGGGAACTTATCATTGATGATAATTCAATACTTAAGTTTGTTTTAAGTGAAAGGCACACATTACAAATATACAATTTAATGAATTTTGAGAAATGAATATACATCTATAACCCCCAATTCCTATCAAGATATAGAACACTAGTTCACCCCTGAGAGTAACATGTATTTTTACATGCAGTCAATCCCACATCTCCCAAAGGAAACTACTGTAATGATCTTTTTAAACCATAGGTTAGTGTTATCTGTTATAGAACTTCATATAAATGTAATCACACAGTATCTGTAGTATTTTGTGTACATTTTACTTTACTCAGAAAGATATTTTTGAGATTCATTCGCCTCGTGTTAACAGAAGTAGATTCCTTTGTATTCCAGAGTAGTATTCTATTGTGTAGATATACCAACATTTGTTTATCCAGTCTGTTGATTGATACCTGTGCTATTTCCAGTGTTTGACAATGAATAAAGCTACTATAAATATCGTTGCACATATCTTATTGTGTGTCTATTTTTAAGAAGTTTGTTATACATGATTTCAGAGAGCAAAAAATGTTTATGTTCATTAACTATTATGTCATATAGGGTTTGCTTTATCTTAGATATGCTCATTTATGTTCTAAAGGCCATACCTTATTTGATATTTCCCTAGCACTGCACTGCAATTCTCGGGTTTATGTATAGATTTATTATTCTTGACTTTTCTCAGCAATTAAAACTAAATCAATTTTTATGTGTTTCTTTTATTTATTTCACTACCATTTATGGGACATTGTAAGACACTTTGCCAAATTTGGGTGTTACGTCAAATTAGACACAATTTCTCAACTCAGACACCAACTAGAATATTAGGGGAGGACACATGTCTTTCACACACACACACACACACACACACACACACACACACACCCCTTTCAAACGATCATCCAGTATGTCAAGAACAAGAGTAGGGTGTCTTGCAGCATTGGGGAGAAGGGAGTGCAGTAGGGAAGATAGTGACAAGGTGAGGAAAACCTTCTGGGGGAAGTTGGCTTTGGAGAAGATTCTTGGGTTTAGAGCTGAAAAAGATCATCCTGTTTGGAACCCTTGTCTAATACATGAGTAAATTGAGACCTCGCGAGGTTCACTTATTTGTCCAAAGGGGTTAGATAGGAATTAGAAGTCATGTCTCCCAAGTTCCAATCCAGTGTTTTTCCTTCTCCAATGTGGTATTTCAATAGATTTTTATAACCATTGATTGACAACCTACCAAGTGGTAGGACTTGGGTCATATCTTAGGAATTAAACAATGAATGAGATATAGAGTTCCTGCCATTAGGAAGTCCCAGTCAGTTAGTGGCACTACCTACCTAATTATATACACATGTGTATGTGTGTATATCCCACCATTTCAGCAATAGGAGCACAATCCCATGCAAATGCAGAGGACAGGGCTATTAAAGCCCTATTATCTCAACATGATTTTATAAAGGATTTTCAGTGTTTTACTTTAAATATTACCTTGAAGATAACCAACAGGTCTCTGCCTTCCCTCACCACAACACCATGTTGAATCAAATTTTCTCAAGCAAAGGCTGCAGAAATCTCATGTTTTCTTTTGAGTTTATGGCTGATACCCTAGAGCTCTTTCCTTTAATATCCTATGAACTCCTTGAGGGAAGACATCTTGCTGTACTCATTTTTGTATCCCTAAAGTCTAGTCATGGTCCTGCAACAGAGACGGTGCTTAACAAATATTTCAACTGCTAATGGTTATTCTAAAAAATTGTTAAGGCTGTTAAACATGAGACCTCAGGCCAGTTCTCACAGAGCCAGTCAGCAGGAGCACTGAGAAGATCTACAGTCTGCTCTTCCAGAGGCTTGTCAGCTCAGCAGAGGCAGGGAAAAACTGATATGTTTGTGTGTATGCTATGATGTTTTTCTATAATCCTGTCCCTGTAGCCCTAAAGCTCTTGGATTTATCCACCCCAATGAAAGCAAACACAAAAGCAAACTTACCCTTCCTGACAGCTACTCAATGTCGACTTCCTATTATCTTCTCATGTCACTATTCTACTTTAGACATACATCTATTTGCATGTGAGACTGATTGGCCTCCTATTTCATTTATTTTAAAAAATAGTCATAGTTCTCTTCATTTTTATTCTCTTTATTAGCATAGTCTCCCTATCCCATTCCAGCAGCCTTCAGAAAGCTTTCTCTAACAATTAAAATGTTGGAAGAAGCCTGGGCAACATGGCAAAATGTTGTCTCTACAAAGAAATATAAAAATTAGGTGGTCGGGCGCAGTGGCTCATGCCTGTAATCCCAGCACTTTGGGAGGCCGAGGTGGGCGGATCACGAGGACAGGAGTTCGAGACCAGCCTGGCCAACATAGTGAAACCCCGTCTCTATTAAAAATACAAAAAATTATCTGGGCGTGGTGGCAGGTGTCTATAATCCCAGCTACTCAGGAGGGTGAGGCAGGATAATTGGTTGAACCCAGGAGGCAGAGGTTGCAGTGAGCCAAGATTGCACCATTGTACTCCAGCCTGGGCAACAAGAGCGAAACTCTGACTCAAAAAAAAAAAAAAAAGGGCGTGCTTGCTCGCATCTGAGGTCCCAGCTACTCGGGAGGCTGAGGTGGGAGGATTACTTGAGCCTGGGAGGCAGAGGTGACAGTGAGCTGAGATTACACCACTGTACTCCAGCTTAGGTGACAGAGAGAGACCCTGTCTCAAAAATACAATAAAAGGTTGGAAGAAATCCCATCTCCTCTTTCTCCTTTCCTCATTAAAGAAAACTAATTTATTTTAATAGTCTACATTTTGAATGTTTTATATAATGCCAGCAATGATACATTTGAGTGAAAATTTTGACCTATTATCAAAGATGACTTGTTTAATATCTTTAATAGGCATATACCTAAAAGATTTTCCTAAAACATATTAGTGAACTCAACTGATCTAATGTCTTGTTGGCATTCTCCTTATTTATTTCTGCTGTCCTTTTTCTTATTATTCTGCCTATATTATCCTGAAAATATTTAGTCAGTTCTGTTTTGCCCACAATTAGCATGGCTAGGTCATTGATTTCAGCACTCAGGTCAGGTATGTCCCCAGGAAGGGTCTCAGTGGTTTCTTTGCAGGGATCACAGCTATGTCTTTTGGTATCTATTGCAATCATGGGTTTGCTTCTATTTTGAATTTGTCTGTCTTATCTCTTGGACATCAAAAGTGCCCTTCAGGGTAGGCATGCTACTTGTTTTATATCTGCCACCCAATTTTAACTGTAAAATCCTAATCACAAGTGGCAACTAGATAGGTTAAAATGATTTCTGGAACTTTCCTTCTGGACATGTAAGATCCTAAAATCTTACGAGAATTTCAGTGAGTTGATTTTGTCTTTAATATTTTTTCTTAGGAAAAAGAAGACCATTTTGAATCTGTTCAACTGAAAACCTCAAGATCCCCAAATATATGAAGAGACAGTGCTGTAGCCTTGAGACTAATGAACAAAGAAACCTGCTCTAGTTTTACAGGACCATATTTTAGGGTCTGTCCTCATACCTGTCACATTGGTGATCTCACAGAGGAGGGCCATGCCGCTGAAAAGGGAAGGAGATTGAAACATTTGATTGCCTTATCACATGGTCAAGTACCTTGCCAAATAAAGGAAAGCAAATGATTTGGGTCTCAACTGAAGATGAAGCTCAACTCAGGAAGAGATTTATCTGTATATACACATAACTGAAAACCAAGTTTAAGCCCACCAATGCACTGCTGATGCATGCCATATAATTAATGGGTAACTTTTATTCTTTATGATGTCTACATAACAAGTGTGATTTGGAAGGCACATGTGAGCATATGCATTATGATCCAATTTATGTTTTTTCTTTGTTTATATTTTGGGGAAAATTAAAATTTTTTTAAGGTATATTTTTCCCATTATTTATTTTCCTGACCTTAAAACAGCTTTTCTACTAAAAAATGGTGAGCAATGAAGACAATAAATTTTTCATTTTTCCATAGGTTATCTTCTCTTGATTTAAATTTCAGGAAGAGTTAGCATGTGCTTGGGTTATCTAGATTTATAATTGCCTTTGAAATTCCATCCTCGTTGGAGCTGGTAAGAAGGGCTTGACTGAAAGTTTGAAGGAATCTAAAAAACAAAAAAGTAAGAAAGGTAACGAGAAGCCCTAATTCTCCATTAATGCAAACTAGCTGCTAGTATCATAGAAGTCAAATGACTTAAAACAGTTTATGTAGTGCTAGAAGTATAATTAAAGTAAATAGGAAAGCTTGTCAATCAAATCACTGGCAAAATCATGAAGAAGAGAGTGAGAAGGTTTGTCTATAAGTACAGATGACTGTATGAAATACTGGGGTAATTTCATGGTCTCCAGAAAATGTCAGTGGGACTTTTGTTCTTTGTCAAGCACCAGAGGTTATATGGTTATTTTTCTGCTGCAAGACTTTGAGGATGTTGACTTTCTCAGAAACTTTTTAAAAAAATAATCCAATAAGGCAGGAATTCAGTTTTGAAAAATTACATATAATTGTATTCATAATAAGAATGTGGTTATTTCATAAGCAGTTATGAAAGAATTATTGTTCTTATTCAAAAGTGATCCAGATAATTGTGATATTTTCTATGGTGGGCTACTGGTATTAGCACGACTTGGATATTATTTGTTGAAGGAAGTATGAATGAAGTTGGATTTGACCAATTTCGTGTAAACCTTAATTGATTTAAAACTGGGAAAGAGGGGGGTTTCCTGGCCATTGCTGATCTAAGGTGCTCTTATTTGTTTCCAATAAACAGTAATCTTTATAGACCTTAATGCAGATTTAAAAAAATAGTTGTGATTGGCTGAGAGAGGCAGGGCATATATGTAGGGAAATGATTTGCCCCAAGCATTCCAATGAAGTATGACTTGTAACTTTTGTGTCTGAAGGTGGTGTCTTTATTTTTGTGGAAAATGGGAGAAAAATGAATAATTGTGTTTATTTGGCTGATTGGTAATACACTAGACCATTCTGTTATTATTGAATGAATGTTTTGTGTATATCTCTGCTGTTGCACATATGAGTATAGGTGAGGTTGTCATTGTTTGCTCTGGGATTCAGGGAGGGAGTCACTTTGCATAAACCTTTTTTTGCATTTAATTTCTTGAATGTTCTTATAAAGAAGACATTATGTTGGCATTCTTCATTTTTATCCTGCCAACAGAGTGCTTATGAGCATGTCTGCATTTTGATCAAAATTTAAACAGAAGAGTGAAAATACATTTGAAATGAACCCTTTCAGAGGAACCCTGGCAAAGCTGTATAGACTGGACAGAGTGAGAAAACTTCCACAGCCACCTGTCACCTTTCTCCTCATCTTCCACTGTGTTCAATATGTATGTTCCAAGCCATAGAGATAATTGGGATTTTCTCCCAGGTAGCTTCTTTCTTCTCCTGTCACTGGACTAAAATCTCTGACATGTCAAAAATGCCTTAAATTTTAATGAACTCTCCGAAAATGTAGTTGATATTGGAGAATTTATTTTATTTCTAATTTTAGATATTAAATATATTTTGTCAGCACAGTCCCATCTTTGGGAAGGAGGTGATTTTTTCCCTTGGATTCCAGTGGTTTGTCATTTTATTTCAAGCACTGAAGAAGTATGACAGAAAGAATATTATGGGGAAAATATTTAGACCAATCCTGGCTATAAAATTTCCTTTAGTTTTATGCCTGGCCTTTGCAAAGCTCAGTGAAATGTTGAAAGGAATAAATTAATCATGTTTCTGTGACTTTTGATTGACACTTGTTCCTTTTCCCCCCTAAGTGGTAGAAGAAGTTATTTGTTATTTTTCTAAAAGGCACAATTTTGAAGCCTTAACTACTTCATTAAGTCAACTGTTGCCTATAACATCTCTTAGCACTCGTCAAAACGTATTTAAATCAATTTTCCAATGGATGAGAACATGTCTTCTGTGGATAAATTATATTATGTCATTTAACAACATTGAGCATTTTGATATGTGTTCACTGAATTAAAAAACCTGAATTTCATTATTGTTGACTTTTCCCCTCTTTAGTTACTAGTAATCACATCCTTTCTAGGATTAAAAATATTTCATAGTATTTTTGTGTAGATGTCTGTCCTTATTTTCTTCCCAAAGAAAAAAGGTTGTTTAAATTGATTATGTGGAAGAATTACTTGGGTCCAGTCTTTAGCATCTGGGGTCTCCAGGTCCCCAGGTGGGTCATGATTGACTGCTTCTTCAAGACCCATCTTGCCAACTCTCACTTGATGTCTGTCAATAGAACTACTTCCTGTGGCACATGGTTATTTCTAATGGGAGGCTAATGTGTACATAATTTCTCTCTTCCTCATAGAAATAAATTTCTCTGGGGGTTGCTGTGAGAGGATGACTTCATTAGCCATGTTTAAAGTGAGTGTACTGCTCACGTTTATCTTTGTACACTAAGAGTATGTAGAGTTGATCTTCAGAGAAACTAAACCTCCCTCATATCTATTTATAGTAATCATGAATATGATTGCAGTTGACAGGCCCAACTCCTAAACTGAGTTTGCCCAAAGAAAATGTCCTTAGAGGAGTAAACTTTTAGAAATCTCAACACCCGACTCATTCGTTGGAAGCTAAAATGGAATTCATCTTCATACTAACTGGCTACAGATTATTCTCTTGCTGGATTTTACTTTTATTTTAACATTTTTACATGAGTTCCTTTTAGAATCATAAATGAAAGAAGTAAAACTTTAAGATGGGAATGAATAATTGAAAAGAGAATTATATTTACTATTATAATTGATATTATTCGCTATTATGATTACACTTGTCTAGATCAGAGCCCAGCAAACATTTTTTTTGTAAAGGGTCAGATAGTACATAGTTTTGGCTTTGCAGGGCATGTGGGCTCTATTGCATTTACTCAACTCTGCCATTGTAGTATGAAAGCAACCACATACAAAATGTAAATGGATGGGCGTGGCTGCATTCCAATAAAACTTTATTTATGGACACTGAAATTTGAGTTTCAGTTAAATTTCATGTGTCATGAAATCTTTTGATGTCTTTCTAACTATTTAAAAATGTAAAAGCCTTCTTAGCTCTCAGGTCTTACAAAAACAGGTGATGGGCTAGGATTTGGCCTAATGGTTATAGTTTGTTGACCCCTGGTTTAGATCACTGTAATCTACCACAGACTATTCAGAAGAATCTGTTTGCACACAGGTTCTTTTCCCTTTAGAAGCTTAGCACCTAAAAAGTTTGTCAAGTCTTCAGAGTTGTTCAAAAAGAAAATAACTCATCACGTGCACTTGATGATTTAATCACTTACCCAATACAAAGCCAGATACTCTCCTGAGTTGCAAAGGATAAAATTAAAGCCAGTGAATTGGTTAAAAGTAAATTAGCAAGATTTATTTAAAAGCCTTTTCTCATTGGGGTTTAGATAATATTCATTGGTAAAGTAACTGAATTTGGAGATACTCAGTCTTAAATGCAGATTCATTTAAAGTAACCATATGGAAGTATGGAATGTTGATGCATGAAAGTAGCTTCAGCATAGGTTTTCCAGCCCCAGCACTGAATACAGTCTCTTTGTTTGCATTTGTTTAGTCAGGGCACACCTCAATCCTTATACATTTGCCAACAATCCTATTTTAAGACTGATTAAGCTGCAAAAGACACTTAGAATTCCTTTAGTGACTGGTGCTTCAAGAAACAGATCAATTTCCTTGAACAAATGGTCCCAGTAAGGCTTTTAATTTGCTGAAGTTTTCTTCATCTTATTAATGATGCGTGTGGATATTGGTAAATTTGGCTTAGAGGGGCAATATTTATCTTAGATGACTGATTTCAGATTACCTTTGATTGCTTTTCAAACAAAAGCATTAAACCAGTGGGAATTATGCAGATGTAAACCTATCACAGAGCAGGAGTGATAATTGCCTTGTTCATAGGCTTTGCCTTTGTAGAGCTGTGGTTATAATCCATGCTGGTGTTCCATCTTCCTGGCACCTCACTTTGCTTGGCTTCTCCATGCTCACAGCGCTTGACTAAAGAGCTCTGGGGCCCAAAGCTATCATGGTGGGTGGGTGAATAAAGCGAGGATTGCTGAGAGAAAGCGCAGAACCAAAGACTGTGAAGGTACACTGGCTAAATTACCTCCTTTCTCAACCACTCTCTTAATCTCTCCTATTTGTGGTCTACAAGCCAGCTGGCCTCGCAGTTTAAAAATAGGAACCATTTTATTTTACCGTGATAAACATGAGCAGGCTGGAAAATCTAATATTTAAACTGGACAGGAAAATGGAGCACCTCAGAAGCTGTAAATACTCAAAAATACCATAGAAAATCAAGCATGTAGTAAGGTTTTGATCTTTTTTAAGTTTCTTGTTAACTTACAAAAAACAATTGCATATAGTTATGGGGTACAATGTGATGTTTTGATACATGTATACATTTTGGAATGATCAAAGCAGGCCAATTAGTTTACCCATCACCTCAAATGTTTATCATTTTTGGTGGTGAGAATCATTAAAATCTCTTTTACCCATTTTGAAATATACAATACGTTATTATTAACTATACTGTAGTCACCGTTCTGTGCAATAGAACATCAGAACTTCTATCTAACTGAAACTTTCTACTTGTTGACCAATTTCTCTCCTTTCTGGTTCACCCCCACTCTAGCCTGTGGGGACAACCATTCTACTCCCTGCCTCTATAAGTTTGACTATTTTAGATTTCACATATAAGTGAAATCTATGGTATTTGTCTCTTTTTGCTTGCCTTATTTCACTTAACATAATGTTGTAGGTGTATCCATGTCACAAATGATAGAATTTTCCGTTTTTTAAAACAGGCTGAATAGTATTTCATTTGTGTGTGTGTGTGTGTGTGTGTGTGTGCATATGTATCACATTTTAAAAATCCATTTATCCATTGATGGGCACTTAGGTTGTTTACATATTGTGGCTATTGTGAATAGTGCTGCAATAAACATGGAAATGCAAATATCTCTTTGACATACTGATTTCATTTCCTTTGGGCATATACCCAGTGTGGGACTGCTGGATTATACGGTAATTCTAATTTTCATTTTTTGAGGACCCTCCATACTGTTTTGCAAAATGGCTATACTAATTTACAGTACTACCAAAGTTCCCCTTTTCTTCACATCCTTACCAACACTTCTCTTTCATCTTTTTGCTAGTAGCCAAGCCAACAGGTGTGAGGTGATATTTCATTGTGATTTTAATTTACATTTCTCTTATAATTTGAGATATTGAGTATATTGTCCATTTGTATGTCTTCTTTTGAGAAATGTCTATTCAAATCCTTTGTCCATTCTGTAATAGAGTTATTTTCTTCTTGAGTAGTTTGAATTGCTTGCATATTTTGGATGTTAACCTCTATTCAATGAATAATTTGCAAATATTTGCTTCTAATCTGTGGTTTATCTCTTCACTGTATTAATTGTTACCTTTGCTGTGGAGAAGCTTTTAATTTGATGCAATACAATTTGTCTATTTTTACTTTCATTGCCTATATTTTTGGGATTATGTCCAAGAAATCACTGCTCAGACCAGTGTCAAGGAGCTTTCCCGTCATGCTTTCTTCTAGTAGTTTTACAGTTTCAGGTCTTAAATTTATGTTTTTTATCTATTTTAAGTTGATTCTTGTATAAGAGGTGAGATAAGAACCTAATTTCATTTTTCTGCATGTGGATATCCAGGTTTCCCTACACCATTTATTGAAGAGACTGTCCTTTCTTCATGGTGTGTTATTGGCACTTCTGTTGAAAAGTAAAAGACTGGAGGTGTGTGATCTTATTTCTGTTAATAGTCTCTCTATATTAATCCATTGGTTGATGTGCCTGTTTTTATGCCAATACCATGCCATTTTGATTACTATAGCTTTGTGCTATATTTTGAAATCGTGTAGAGTGATTACTCCAACTTTGTTCTTTTTGGTCAAGATTTCTGTGGATATTCAGTCTTTTGTGGTTTCATACAAATTTTAGAATTGTTTTTTACTATTTCTGTGAAGAATGACATTGGAATTTTAGTGGGGATTGCATCAAATCTGTAAATCACATTGGATAGTATGAACATTTTAACAATATTTTTACAATCCTTGAACACAGAATATCTTTCCATTTATTTGTGCCATCCTCAATTTTTTTCATCAATGTTCTATAGTTTTTCAGTATGAACATCCTTTACTTCTTTGGCTAAATTTACTCCTAAGTATTTCACATTTTTCATGCTATTGTAAATAGAATTGTTTTCTTAATTTCTTTTTTAGATAATTCATTATTAGTATATAGAAACACTACTGATTTTCGTAAGTTGATTTTGTATCCTGCAACTTCACTGAATTCATTTATCAGTTCTAACAGTTTTTTTTGGTGGAGTCTTTAGGATTTTCTATATGTAAGGTCATTTCGTCTGCAAATAGAGATACTTTCACTTCATCCTTTCCTGTTTAGATGCCTTTTCTTTCTTTTGCATAATTGCTCTGACTAGCATTTTCCAGTACTATGTTGAACAGAAGTGTTGAGAGTGGGCATCTTTGTCTTTTTCCTCATCACAAAGAAAAAGCCTTTTACTTTTTCATTGTTGAGTATGATGTTAGCTGTGAGCTTGTCATACATGGCTTTTATTGTGTTGAGGAACATTTTTTAAATCTCTAATTTTTTTCCAGCATCTGTTGAGATGATCATATGGTTTTTGTCCTTTATTCTGTTAATATAGTGAATCACATTTATTGATTTGCATACTTTAAGCCAGTCTTGCATTCCAGGGATAAATTCTACTTGATCATAGTGAAATATCTTTTTAATATATTGTCGAATATAGTTTGCTAGTATTTTGTTGAGTATTTTTGCATCTGTGTTCATCAGTCATATTGGCCTGTAGTTTTTTTTTTGTAGTGTCCTTCTCCAGCTTTAGTATTAGGATAATGCTGGCTTTATAGTATAGAGTTTGGAAATATTCCCTCTTGTTCTGTTTTCTTGTAAGAGTTTGAGAAAGAACTCAAACTTAATTCTTTAAATGTTTGATAGAATATAGTTGTGAAACCATCTGGTTCTGGACTTTGATGATAGATTTTAAATTACTGGTTCAATCTCTTTACTCATTATTGGTCTGTTTGGATTTCATATTTCTTTGTGATATAGTCTCAGAAGGTTATATATTTCCAGGAATTTATTCATTTCTTCTAGATTGTTCTATTTGTTCATGTCTAATTGTTCATAGTAGCCTCTTAAGATCAGTTGTATTCTGTGTTACCAGTTTTAAGGTTTCCTCTTTTATTTCTGATTTTATTTATTTGAGTCTTATCTATTTTTTCTTAGCCTAAGTAAGGGTTTGTCCGTTTTGTTTAGCTTTCCTAAATTTTTTCTACTGTTTTTCTAGTCTCTGTTTCATTTATTTCTTCTCGATGTTTGTTATTGTCTTCCTTCTGCTAACTTTGGGCTTAGGGCTTTTTTTGTTTTGTTTTGTTTTGTTTTGTTTTTAAGTTCCTTGAAGTGTAACATGGTTGTTTATTTGAGATCTTTTTTCTTTTTTGATATAGGTGTTCATTGTTACAAAATTCCCTCTTAGAACTGCTTTTGCTGCATCCCTTATGTTTTGGTATATTGTGTTTCCATATTTGTTTGTCTCAAGTTATATTTTTATTTCTTTACTATTATTATTTTTGAGATAGAGTCTCACTCTGTCATCCAGGCTGGAGTACAGTGGTGCAGTCTCCGCTCACTACAACCCCACCCCCTGGGCTCAAGCGATCCTTCCACTTCAGCCTCCCACGTAGCTGGGACCACAGATGCACACCATCACACCCAGCTGTTTTTGTATTTTTTGTAGACGTGGGGTTTCACCACATTGCCCAGGCTGGTCTTGAACTCCTGAGCTCAAGCTATCTGCCTGCCTCGGCCTCCCAAAGTGCTAGGATTACAGGCATGAGCCACTGCATTTGTCCTCAAGGTATTTTTTAATTTCCCTTTTAAATGCTTCTTTGACCCAATAATTGTTCAGGAGCATATTGTTTAATTTCCACATATTTGTTACATTTCTGTGATTCTTCCTGTTATTGATTGTTAGCTCCATACTATTTTGGTCAGAAAAGATACTTGAAGTATCTTTTGTCAAGACACGTTTTTTGGCCTAATATATAATCTAGCCTAGAATATGACCCGTAAGATCAGTGTTCCATGTGCACTTGGTAAGAATGTATGTTCTGTTGCTGTTGGATGAAGTGTTCTGTATATGTCTTTCAGTCCATTTGGTCTAAAGTGTAGTTCAAGTCCAATGTTTCCTTATTGATTTTCTTTTTGGATTACCTGTTTGATGTTGAAAGTGTGGTATTGACATCTCCTACTATTATTGTGTTGCAATCTATGTCTCCCTTTAGATCTCTTAATGCTTGCTTTATATATATATATATAAGTATATATATATAAAAATATATATATACTTATATATATATAAATATATATACAAGTATATATATAAATATATATATAAGTATATATATATAAAAATATATATATATATTTAGGTGCTCTGATGTTGGGTGCATATATAATTGTTATATCCTCTTGATGAATTTACACCTTCATCAATATATAATGACCTTCTTTTTCTCTTTTTCCAATTTTTAACCTAAAGTTCATTTTGTCTGAAATAAGTATAGCTACCACTGCTCTCTTTTTGTTTCCATTTATTTGGAATATCTTTTTCCATTCCTTCATTTTCAATTTATGAGTATTCTTTTAAGGTGAAGTGAATTTCTTGTGGGCAGCATATACTTGGGTCTTATTTTTTTTTTTAATCCATTCAGCCACTCTATGCCTTTTTATTGGAGAATTTAATCCATTTCCATTCAAAGTAATTACTGATAGATAACAACTTACTAGTACCATTTTGTTCATTGTTTTGTAGGTTCTTTGTTCCTTTCATCCTCTATTACTTTATTCCCTTGTGATTTGAGGACTTTTATAATGGTATGCTTTGGATCCTTTCTTTTGGCTTCGTTTATCTATTAGAGACTTTTGCTTTGTGGTTACCCTGAGGATTTTATAAAACATCTTATAATGGTGCATTTTAAGCTGATAATGTATAAATTTGATTGTATACACTTTTACTTCCCCTTCTACCAACTTTTATGCTTTTGATATCATAAATTGCATTTTTAAAAAGTTTTTATCTTTAAAAAATTATTGTGGCTTTAGTTATTTTTAATAGTTTTGCCTTTTAATTTTTATACTAGAGATATAATTGTTTACCCACCATTATTACAGTATTAGAGGGTTTTGAATTTTACAATGGACGTATCTTTACCAATGAGTTTTATACTTTCATATTTTTTCATGTTACTAATTAACATCTTCTTCCTTCACCTGGGAGAACTCCTATTAGCATTTCTTGTAAGGCAGCTCTAATGGTGAGAAACTCTTAGCTTTTGTTTGTCTTAGAAAGTCTTTATCACCCTGTCATTTTTGAAAGATAAGATTGCTGAGTAGCGTATTTTTGAAATTTTTTTCCTGCATTTTGAATATCATTCTACTCTCTTCTAGTCTGCAAGATTTGTGCTAAAAAAAAAATCCCCTGATAATCTGGAGGAGTTTCCCTTGTATGTAACAATTCTCTTTTCCTTTGCTGCTTTCAGCACTCTGTTTTTGTCTTTAACTTTTATTTTATTTTCAATTTTTGTGGGTACATAGTAGATATATATATATATTTATGGGGTATATGAGATGTTTTGATACAGGCATGAAATGTAAAATAAGCACATCATGGAGAATGGGGGTATCCATCCCCTCAAGCATTTATCCTTTTAGTCACAAATAATCCAATTATACTTTTTAAGTTATTTTAAAATATATTGTGTTCAACTTTTGATTATAATGTGTCTCAGTGTGGGTTTCTTTGGATTAGTTTATTTGGTATCCTTTGGACTTACTGGATCTATATTTCTATTTGTTGTCCCAGGCTTGGGAAGTTTTCTTCCATTATTTCTTTGAATATGTTTTCTTTCCCTTTTTCTGTCTCTTCTCCTTTGGGTGCACCAATAATCTGCATGTTCTTACACTTGATGGTGTCCCCATAGTCTCTTAACCTATCTTCACTCTTTTTCATTTTTTTTTTCTTTTTGCTCCTCAGATTGTGCAAGTTCTCGCTGATCCTTTCTTCTGCTTGATCTATTTTGCTATTGAATCCCTCTATTGAATTTTTTCAATTCAGCTGTAGTATTCCTCAGCTCTGCTGATTTCTGTTTGGTAATTTTTAATATTTTCTGTTTGTTGAAATTCTCAGTTTGTTCTTGCATTGTTCTCCTGTCATCAATGAGCATCTTTATGACCATTATTTTGAATTCTCTCTGTGGGTAAATCACATACGTCCACTTCACTTGGGTCAGTTTCAGATGTATCTTGTTTTTTTATTTAGGATATGTTCACCTTTACTTTGTTTTCTTGACCCTCTGTGTTGGTATCTGCACATGAGATAAAACAACTACCTCTCCAAGTCGTGTCAGATTGGCTTCTTGTAGAAGTACCTCACCAGTCCATCTAGCCAGAGATATTAAGTTACCTCTCAAATCTATGCGTCTGTCCAGACTGCTATCGGTGTTTTTGGTGGCCCCTGGAGCTTAGGATATGTCATATCCTGTCAGTACTCTGAGACAAGTAAGTTAGAATCCAGACTCCCTAGATGTACCTGGAAAGGTTAGGGTGTTGAATTTGAATATATGTTCTAGTTTTTTCTCTCTTCACTGTGAAGCTGGGCATGGATATTTATCTCCCACTCTTTCTGCAGTAAGCCAGGGAGAGGATCTGTGGCAAATGCTTGAACTCATATTCAGGCTGCACTCTCTGATTCTGGGGAGATAGCTGCTGAAAGTAGGCCCATTGTATATTGACCATTTTCTTTTCTGTGGTCTAGGACCACTCATAAATGCAAAGCCCCATTGGCTCCTAGAGCTGGATCATTAAGGAGACAGTCACTTGAGTGGGATATAGAAGTTGTGGCACTTGGTGCATGACCAAACTCCTTCCAAGAAGAATGAGTAGACCTGGATTTATTATTGGGTGAGCTAGAGGAAAGGCATATGAAGTTTCAGGCTTTGGCTCTGGTTGTTGCTGAGGGCTACTCTGTTTTTTTTTTTTCCCTGTTAACTCCCCAGTGCAAGTTCATTAGAAGCCAGGCCATTAAGTAGCCACTGTCACTGTGTGCCATAAGCCCCTTCTGAAGAGGAAATGGAAGCTGCATGTTCTCACTCTTTTCTGCATTGCTCCAAGGAGATGTAGCCCCTGGAAGTATTTGCATGCTCACTTAAAAACACCTCTTTATTCTGTGATCTATGGAATCTTGAATATGCCTAGTCCCCTTTTTTCCATAGCTAAGAGGTTTAGAATGGAATCCTTTGGGTGGTAGCTGTAAAAGCTGGGGCACTCAGTGAAAGGCATAAACCCCTTCCAGGAAGAAACAAAGAGCTGCCTGCTTAGAGCCCCTTCTCTGCATTGCTTCTAGGGAATGAAGCCCCTGTAAGTGCTTACACATGTATATAAAATTGCCAGTTTTTTCTTTGGTCTAGGTAGACTCACATATACTTAGTACCCTCTGCTCCCAGAGGTAGGATGTTTAGGATGCAGTACCTTGGATAGAAGCTGGGACACTCAATGCATGGACAAGCTCCTTCCAGGAAAAATTAATAGAACTGGAGTTATCACTGTGGTGAACTTGGAGAGAAGACTCCAGAAGAGCCAATCTGCTTCTCAGGCTGGTGGTGGGTTAATATTTATCTGCCTCCTTAACTCCCTGATGCAAGTTAGTTGGAAGCCAGGCTGCCAAGTAGCCACTGGAAAAGTATGCTCTAAACTCCTTCTTGAGAGAAACAGGGCTGAGTTTAGCCCCTTCTCTGCACTGCTCCTGTGGGACCAAGGCTCTGGAAATGTTTGCATACTTGTATAAAACACTGCCTTTTTCCTCTGGTCCACAGAAACATATATGCCAGTCCCCTCTGCTCCCAGAGCTGGAAGGTTTAGGATGTAGTCCCTTGGGTGAAAGCTGTAAAAGTTGGGGTGCTCGGTGTGTGAACAAATTCCTTCCAGGATAGATTAATAGACCTGGAGTTATTGCTGGTGTGAACTGAGGGGAAACCTTAAGAAATGCTGATCTGCTTCTCAGACTGCCAGTGCGTTATTTGTTCTTTAACTCCCTGAAGCAAGTTAGTTACAAGTCAGGCTGCCAATTAAACACTGGGAGAATGTGTCCCTTCCAGGGAGACAAAGGGCTACATTTTTTAAGCCTTTTTCTGCACCTCTCCTGGGGCATGAAGCCATTGGAAGTGCTTGCCTGCTTGCGTAACACTGATGCTTTTTCACTGTGGTCTAGCGAGACTTTTATGTCTAATCCCTTCTGCTCCCAGAATTGGTGAATTAAGTGTCAAGCCAAGGGAATTCTTAGAGTTAGGGTGTTATATGTGGGTCCAAATCCTCCTCTCCACAGGGAGAAGCTGGGTGTTGGGGATTCCGTTCAAGATTTTATGGCTCAGTGCCTGGGGAGACTCTGTGTCTGAGTGTGCCTACTTGTTTGATGTGGGTGTTTTCTCAGTTGCCTGGTGGGTAGGAGTCTCTCAACTGGTATCTAACTTTCTCTCAGAGGGAATTGATCTGTGAATAGATGCTTTTTTTTTTTTTTTTTTTTTTGTAGATTCGTGGGTAGAGGGAGAAGCAGGAGCTTCCTATTCTGCCATATTCCTGATGTCACCTTGATATTTTTTTTAATGAGTGGGATATATCATTTTGCTTGGCTTTCTTAAATTCAGGAAGTTTTTTGCAATGATGGACTGGCTCAACCAGTTTCATATTGTGAACTGATGAAATGTTACTGGAGCAAAAAATCAACCAAAAACTTATTTGCTTGAAATAGCTTATGTAAAAGATTTTGTAGCTGCTATTTTTCATACATATGTTGAATATTTTAAAAAATATTTCCAAAGATCACATGTTAGATGATGCACTTCCAATTGGAAACAAAGCTTGTGGCAAGGAAAAAGAAAATGACAAGAGCTGTCAGTTAATGCATGAAATTATATCTTCAGGGCATGAAATACAGTGGGCATAGATCAAAACCCAGCCCTCTCAAAAACACAGTTTTCTGAAGATTTATATACACGCCTAATTGTCTTGTTTGAAAAGATACATAATCAGTTTGATTGTTTGAGGCATCAGCCATGTCTCTGCACAACCCATCTGATATTGCCTTCTTCAGACTGTCACATTCCATCAGAGGACTGAGTTTATCTCCCATCAGCCTTGCCTCAGCCTTTATCCTGAGCAATGCTCATTCTTAACACACTTATCTAGCACTCCTGCCAGTTTCAGTCACAGCAGAATTCATTTTTGTCATTTAGTGCTGTTGAATCTATTATCCAATCTAAGCTCCCCTCCCCAGATTACAGGTTCTTATTTGAATATGGGAATTAGACACTGGTGAACACTATTGTCTTTGAGCATCTGGTGAGTTTTGGATTGCTTGATTAGGTTGCTGATTCAAATGCATCCAGAAGAAAAAGAAGAATTTCTAACATCTGACTCTTTTATTTCCTCCAAAGCCAGTCCTGTTGGCTTTTTGTGTACCTGTTACTTATTTTCAGGCATTTTAAAATAGTATAATTGTGTTTGATTATTCAGGCCTTGACTGTTTAGCCTGTGGATACTTCATATCCTGATTCTCCTCATCTTTCCTCTCACTGTCTTCCTTGTGTCACAAACATCCTCTCATCATAATATTTTCCAGTCTTTAAGCTTCTTAGAGGCAGGCACTACAACTTATTCATTCTTTTTTCTGTTGTGGGATAAAAAGTGGCCCCTAAAATGATATGTCCACATCTTAATCCCTGGAACTTGAGAATGTTAATTTATTTGAAAAAAGGGCCGTGCCTTTTTTCATCTCCCGAGATGAACTCATCCTATAGTATCTACCTAGATTGGCCCTAAATCAAATAACTAGTGTCCTTGTAAGAGACACAGAGGACAAAACTGACACAGAGGAGAAGGTGATGTGAAGATGGAGGCAGGGATTGGAGTGATGTGGCCACAAGCCAAGGAAGCTGGCAACCACCAGAAGCTAGAAGAGGCATGGAATGAATCCTCCACTAGAGCTTCTGAGAGAGTGTGGCCCTGCTGATGCTGACACTTTTCTTTCAGACTTTCAGCCTCCATAACTGTGCAAGAATAAATTTCTATTGTTTTAAGACACCCAGTTTGTGCTAATTCCTTATACCAGCCATAGGAAACTAAAGCACTCCCTAGCCATGGCCCCTGGCACAGGATCTGACACATATATTCTCAGCAAATTTTCCTACATTCATAAATGATTTGTGAGTAAAAGGTTGATAAAAATAGGACAGTATTTAGTAAGAATAAGCCAGTTTTAGCTTATCCATGCTTTCCCTGTTCACTCCCTTATGTAGGTTAATAAAATATTAAAGTTTAGTGACAAGCCGATGTGCCTGAGCATGGCTACTGAAAAAAAAAATTAGAAAACAAGATATCCTGCATTTTATTGCCTCATTCAGCAGTGAATGGTGAGAGTGATTTTCTAGTGGAATAAGGAGATATTCTGCCAATTTCGTAGTAATTAAGGTTGTTTTTGGAAATGAGAGCCATCAAATCTTCCCTGGCAGCCACAGTCTCTATATTCTGAACATAGCAACTCTCTCATTGTCTTATATCTCTATCTGGGCAATTCTCGGCTTCCCCCCAGATGTGGCTTTAGAAAACCAAAATGTGTATTGTCACTGAAATGGTCTGATATATATGGTGTTGCTACCAGTCAATTTCTGATCATTGTGGACCATAGAGAAGTCTGAACCTGCTCACAACTCTTCAGCAGAGTAACAACTTGAGTTTGAAGTATGTATAGATGGGAACAGAAGCACAGTCAGACAGTTTCTTCTAATATTAAATGTAGAAATGATTTGAAGTCATATTCAAATTACCTTGAGTTATTCAAAAAGAACAAACCATTATCCACCATGCTGGAAAACCTTGAAGGTTTTATTCTCAGTATCTTTACATTAATACAGATGCTTTTTATTTTGTGCTGAGAAAATCAATCTGTTACACATAATGTAACTTTAATATACAACATAGAAACTCATCCTAAATTAGTTACAACAAGGACCTACAAAAAACTTCATAGGAAAAAAGGTTACATAATATTGCCACCGTATTTTTATTTTTTTCTTTTGTTTTTTTTTTTTTGTTTTTTTTTTTTGTTTTTTAGTAGACTGACCATGTCAGACCCTGTCACCAATGCTCAGCTCTGTAAACAATGGTTATTTCCATGTTCTGGGGGAATTGTTAATAATAGGGGCACTAGACTCAGCCTAGAAAGTTCTAGCACATCACTATATACAGTCCTCAAAAATAATTTATCGTACTGTTTCTAAAAAAAGGTACTAGGGTTGTTCTTTTGCTCTGTTTCCATATTCTGGAGCTGCACGTGAGCACTTTTGTCTAACAGTCTAAAAACACAAGAACTGAACTGCAATTCACAATCACAGAGATGAGGTGGTGGAGTCGAGGACTTCCCGCCCATTGCACACCGTTGGCACATACGTGCTTGCAGAGGCTGGAAAACAAAGTGGGACAGAAAACTCAAAGTTAGTCAAGTGGGACACAAAGGTAATAGCATGAAGGATACAATGGACTTTGGGGACTCGGGGGGAAGGGTGGGAAGGAGGTGAGGGATAAAAGACTACAAATTGGAGTTCAGTGTATACTACCCAGGTGATGGGTGCACCAAAATCTCACACATCACCACTAAAGAACTTACTCATGTAACCAAATACCATCTATTCCCCAAAAACCCATGGAAATAAAAAATGTGAAAAAAAATAAAATTAAATTAAAAACTCATTTTAATTTGGCTTTGGAAAGTGCTAAATGGTTAAAATGCTATTGTAGGTCAATTTCTAAATATGTTCTGCTCCAAATTAGTTTGCAACCTGGAACATACCTCCACTAACGTTATACCTCTTGGCGGGGAATTTGTAAGTATAATCATTGTTGAAGGAAGTCACTTGTGGGTTGAAAATTAGCTTTGGTAATCTATAAACTGGTTTAAATACAATGTGCAAAATCAAAAGCTCACTGCAATTTTTATAGGTTACTAAATTATTTACTGTTTTCAGTACCTTAATTAGTTTTGTTCTGTCTATACAGGGATGAGCCTTATATAGTCCGTGAGTCATCTGTGAACTCCACTGCCTTAGAGACTGGTTTGATATATTTTCATTGTTCAAGTGGATAACCTCAGTAAAAACACTAGTAAGGGCTGGGTTGCTAAGAGCTTCAGTTTCATAACGGGTCTCAGAAAAGATATTCCAAAGGGATGGTGCCCTTGTTAATGACAAATAGTGACAACAGTGTTATGGTGTGGCCCTGCTGATGCTTTCCTTTCAGACTTTCAGCCTCCATAACTGAGAGAGAATAAATTTCTATTGTTTTAAGACACCCAGTTTGTGCTAATTCCTCACACCAGTCATAGGAAACTAAAGTACTCCCTAGCCATATTATATAGTATGGATATATATACTCATTCTTTTTATGGCACTCAGTTTTCCTAGATACAGTTCTTAGCTATTAACTTGTTGTTGGTAAAGTTTTATTTCATGAGAAATCTAGGTACAGATAAGTTATATATATTTCACCCTTAATGCTTTTTCTTTTCACTGAATGAGAACAAAAGCAAGGAGCCCCATTCTCTATGGACTGAAACCATGTAGCCGAGAGAATCGGTTAAAGAGATGGTGTTCCATTACATTTAAGATCTCTCTCATACAACCCCTTGGCCTGTCTATTTGTATATACTCTGACCAGTAGGAGCTGATCCTCTGGGGTACTTGATCACAGCCCAGATCAAATTGACCAGCCATCTGTCCCATTCTTTAAGAGCATATCTCAAAGTTAACCTGCAGATAAACTGGCTTCATGTTTAAATGTCCATGCTTGATAGTGGATATATAATTGACCCCTACATTTTCATTTTACCTAGGCAAAATTCCTATTAATTTCCTTAAACAGGAGCAACTATTTATGAAATGTGAGATTATATGGCATTCAGTGGGGGAGCATTCACTATACTTGGGGCACTGAAGTCTATCAGCAGGTCCACCACTAGGGAATCTACAGCCCCTCAATTTTACATTGATTGCTTGGCTAGGTATGTAAGAAAAATCTATGAAGTCAAGTTTGTGTGGCTACCTCAAGTTACACTGGAGTCATGCAACATGCTAACTCTTTTGGAGATTTTTTTCTTCTTCTTATTAGGATCAGGTTCAATTTTCTTTACAATACGAGCCCATTAAAAGCTATAATATCTCTGAGGGCAGGTACGGTGTCATATGCATTTCCTGAAACTGCTACAATGAAGAAATTGGTAACACAGTATGTGCCAGATAAATACTTGATGGAAAGTGGTCATAATCATAATTCCAAATGTGAGGGCTTTATTATTTATAAATACTTTAATTAGAAAAATTATTTCCATATATTGTACCTAATTCCAGCTTCATCAAATGTAGGTAAGGTAAGAGAAAGGGAAAGGCAAAGTGAGATTCAAAATGGGTTACTGGAAACCTAGGAGAGCACTCTAGGTCATTCAATATGTGCTTTTTCTGCAGCCTTTTGTATCCAACTGCCTACTTGACATCTTTGTGTGTACGTTTAAAAGCCACTTCAAAATCAGTGGCCATAGCTGAACTCTTGATTCCCTAACCTGCCTCCATTTAGCTTTCCTTTCCTCAGTGAATGGTTTTGCCATCTGGCCAATTGCCCAAACCAAAAATCTAAAATGTATGTTTCATTCCTTTTTGTTTCGACCCTGCCCCATGTCAAACCTATCATCAGTTTCACTCACCTCTAGATTTACGTCTAACCAGTTCTCTTTGCATCTACCACCCTGGGGCAACCCACCATGATGTTTCTCCTGATCATTGCAAGAGCTGCACCACTGGCCTGTCTGTTTCCACTCTTGCTTTTTTGTTGCAATATATTCTCTATACAGCAGTGAGAGTATTTTAAAATACAAGTCACCTACATATGCACTTCCAGTGGCTTCCCTGTGTGCTCTAACTCTTTATTCTGGCTTATAAATCCCATCGTAATTTGGACCATGTCCCCCTTTTTGTGTTCACCTCATTCCAATTTTTTTTTCCTTCTTTTTGCTTTTGTTCTCAAATACAGCAAATCTGTTTCTCAACTTTCTGCCTTTGCAGTAGCCTTTGCCTCTCTAGGAATGTTCTTCCCTCTGATCTACTCATGTCTGGCTCCTCCTTGTCATCCACATCTGAAATGTTACCTCAAAGAGGTAGTCATCAGGCCACTTAATTTAAAATAATAGCCAATCAGTTACTGTCACATCACCCAGTTTTGAAACTCAGCCTAGCCCAGTTGTTGCTGCCTTTTTTCTTGCTTATTATTATTTTTGGTGTAGCATCCTATACCCTTGACTAGAAAATATGCAGGGGTTTTACTTATCTGTTTCATTATTTTATCCCTAGTGCTGGTCATGGAATAGACTGTCTATAAATATTTCCTGAATTATCATATAAATGTTTGCATTTCAAAGAATCAGGAAACCAATGGAAGTTTCAAGAAGGAAATAATCTTTTAAACTAAAGAAATGACCAGCAAACATGAAGCCTATGGGCAGCCTTATTTTCAGACAGGTGGGCTTTTGCTTCTCAAGCCACATTGTGACAATGACCATCAACTACCCTTGCCAAGAGAACTGACTCAGGTTGTGAGCTCCCATTCAGGCATGCTGCCTTTGACATTTTAACTAATCTCTTTATCTTTTCCAGGATCAAGTTGTATTATTTCTGTGCATGCTAAAAATGAAATTTTAGCGATTGAAGAGGAATAATGTGTCACAGGGATAAGTCTAGGAGAACTAAGGCCTAGGATTCAAATACCCCCTCTTAAGTTTGTATCTGAAACCTACTCTGATGTTCCCTGTCCTCTTATGGAACTTGATGTAATGCTATGCTTTGGAGTGCACTCTTAGAGTCAACTTGCCCATTGCATTCTAATTTCTTAAAAATTAGGTATATCTTGCCTAGGTAAGGAGGACAGAGTCTGCAAAAGATAGCTGCATGGAAAATCCTCAAGTTCTAGTATAAAATAGTCATCTACTATGTACCCCATGGACATCATCATGGAAGTTAATAGAACAACTTTGTTTCATCTACCCCCTTCATAGGGACATTCAAAGGAGCAACCTATGTCTAAACTCTTTGAGAGGAAGATAATACAAATTCAAGGTCTTCTTACAAGAAATAGCAACAGCAAAAAATACCCACAAGACTGTTTTTGCAACTACTTTTTCCCCTAAATACTTTTTAATGTGTCGAAGGGAACTCTAACTTATATTTTTCTGCTTCTCTTTTATTATTTCATCGGTAGCTTCTGCTGGTGCATTTTATTATGAAGAAAATTCTCATTTTTGCACATGCTGTTGAATATAGTAGGGAAAATTATTGTTTTATGAGCTTATTATCTCAATTACTTTGCTTTTCATAAATATTTTACATATGCCTCCTGTATTAGCCCGTCTGTTATTCACCAAGGTAATAAAATATGTAGAAGGGCAAAGTACTATCATTTCTGTGTGTATGTTTGTGATGAGCTTTTTCTGTTATTCTGATGAAATCCTCATGAGATTTTTAATGGTGTAAGTTTAGCCCATTTTCTTAAGTGTGGTTAAGCACATTTCTATAATCATCCTTTCTACTAGACATAAGAGGCATGTAGCCCTATTTTTGGCTTTCCTGGGACTTGGGGTAAATAGTAACTATTGGATACTCTAGGATAAGGTGTGCTTTTGCCATTCAAAGTGAAAATTTAAGGTAAATGGAAAAGGACCTTATAAATTCCACTATTGATCACAAAAGGGTAATTCACAGCCATCAAAAGGCATATTTTGCTTCACAAACTGGTGAAACGTTGAAGATCAGTGTAACCAAGTGGCAGCTTTGTCTTGCTCTGCAAAATCCACTTCTCTTCCACCAGTAATGCATGGGCTAGCCAGACTTTGGAGAAAATTATTGTATTTTTTCAGATAATTGGACCCTCAATCAATGCTAAATATATTTATTTAATAGATTTTTATGGATGCCAAGTCTGTTAGTCAATTTAGTGGCTAAGACTGGTTGCTGAGAGTCAGTGTTACTTTAGCAGTGTTACTTTGCATCAGTCTCAGAAAAAAAATAAACATTTCAACGGAACAGACATTCCAGTTTGCTCCATCTGTTCCATTTCCTTGCTTCTGATGACCCCAAATAATTTTTTCCCAGGAAGTCTGTTTGTTTAGATATTTTACTATTATGGTCATGGAATCCAGTTTCCACCAACTGTTTGTTGTCTTGTGTCCTGCTTTGTCATTGAATCTGTTTTCTTACTCATCATCTTAATTTTACTTATGCTAGGGTCCCTTGGTTCCATTTCAGGAGAATTGTATCTGGTGATTGAATAATAGATGTTATCTGGGCAGATGAAGACACTACTACTACCCATTGGTTTGGTATTCTTGCTATGTCAGAGATTTCACAGGGGAAGGCAAATAATTCATTATTAAGAAATATAGACTGGGCCTGGTGCAGTGGGTTGGGCCTGAAATCTCTGCACCTTGGGAGGCCAAAGTAGGAGGATCATTTGAGGCCAGTCAGGAGTTTGAGACCAGCCTGGGCAATGTAGCAAGACCCCATCTCTAAAAAAATTTAGCTGGGCAGGATGGCATGTGCCTCAAGTGCTGAGGTCGCAGGATGACTTGAGCCGAGGAGTTCGAGGCTTCAGTGAGCTAGGATCATGTCACTGCACTGCAGCCTGGGTGACAGAATGAGATCCTGTCAGTGAAAAAGGTCTCTTCAAAAACAAGAAAAAAGAAAAAATACATAGACTGAATTCTCAGTGACTGCTTCCTCTTTATGACCCAAATAATGGTTTTAAACTGTTAACAGTAGATTTAAGATCATCATATTCATTATACTGTGGGATAAAAATCTGCAAATCCAAGATTTAGTTTCCAAATGGGGAGTAGAACTGTATGAAAGCAGTGACTTCTTCATTCAATGATTCTTTTCTTGTGAGACAAGATTTATGGAAAAAGAAGATATGTCATGACCCTTTTTAATGACCCATTACTTTACCAACAGAAATAGCACTTGGTCTCAGTCCATTTTCTGTTTCTGTGACAGAATATCACTTACTAGGTAATTTATAAAGAATAGACATTTATTTAGCTCATGGTTCTGAAGGCTGGAAAGTGCAAGAGCATGGCACTGGGCGTCTGGTGAGGGCCTTCCTGCTGTATCATGACATGGTGAGAGGCATCACATGGTGAGATAGAGTGAGCATCTAGTTCAGGTCTCTCTTCCTCTCCTGTGAAAGCCATCAGTCCCATCATGGGGGCCCCACCCTGATCACCTTATTTAATCTTAATTCCCTCCCAAAGACACCACCTCCAATCAGGATGTGAATTTGGAGATTAAGTTTTCAACACATGAAATTTGGAGGACACATTCAAACCATCAGTCTTCAACTAAATACTTCCCTCCATTGTTGCCACATCATGTTGCTTTAAAATATCATGTTCTTGGCCAGGCATGGTGGTTCATGCCTGTGATCCCAGCACTTTGGGAGGATGAGGTGGGTGGATCATGAGGTCAGGAGATCAAGACCATCCTGGCTAACATGGTGAAACCTCGTCTCTACTAAAAATACAAAAAATTAGCCGTGCGTGGTGGCGGGTGCCTGTAGTCCCAGCTACTTGGGAGGCTGAGGCAGGAGAATGGTGTAAACCCAGGAAGCAGAGCTTGTAATGAGCCGAGATTGTGCCACTGCACTCCAGCCTGGGGGACAGAGTGAGACTCCGTCTCAAAAAATAAAATAAAATAAAATAAAATAAAATAAAATAAAATAAAATAAAATAAAAATTTACTCTCTTCTCCTTCCCTCAAAAAGTATAAAGAGGGATGCCCAATAAATAATTGGTAAATGAAAAGGATCATTTTTCTGTGCTTTTCTACCAATCCTGCATTCTTTTCACTCTCTTAGTTGCCCAACATCACTGGTTTCTCCTCTTTTCTATCAAAATATGTTTTCAGACAAGGATCAGAAACTTTTTCACCCTGAGGCTCAGATAACTAATATGAGTTGCATGTGCTACTATGCCTAGGGACAAAAGTCTAAAACCAAAAGTGTTAAACTCTAATAAAATTAGTTTTAGTCTCCTTTCTGTGGAACTAATCCTGTTAGCTTCACCTTTAAGTTATGTACAGTATCAGAACACTTTATTGGCTTCTACTGCTATCTCTCACTCTGGTCTAAACCACCACCATTTGGACTATGCCTCCTAAATGATCTCTTTGGCTGCTCCCTCTTTTATATTTTGCCCACACAGCCAAAATTTATGCTTTTAAAGTCAGGTCATACCACAACTCTGATGAAACCCTTCTAGTACTTTCTCATTTCTTTCAGTCAAAGAGTAAATATCCTTATAATGCCTCTCTGTTCTCCTCGCCTCTTATTCTCACTTTTATTCATCTTCCTCTAGCCACATTCAAACCTAACTTGCTTGGCCAGGCTACTACGTAGTGTCATTATGGGACTCCATGAACATTATGGGACTACATGAACGAGTCTGTACCCATGCTGATAGAACAAGATGCCATCAGGTATAGAGCTGAAAAGTAAGCTTTTAACTTAAAAAAAAAAAAAAACCATTGAATTTGCAGATGCTAACATTCTCATTGTCAGAATAGTCTATGAGCTGAATTTTGTAACTGAGCTGAGGCGGCAAATTCAGGGAGGCCAGAGGAACAATATAGCAGCCTTTGAGAGTTTCATCTATAACTCTAGTTATCAAATTCCTAAAGTATCTAGTAGATAGGGCCCTAGTTTTCTCATCTAGAAATGTGGTTATTAGAATAAATGTTCCAAAGTGGCCCTCCCAGCTCTGATATTTGTGGTCACTGTTATTAAAGAAGGTGGGCTATATTTACTAGGGGAAAACCTAGCAACATATTAGAGATAAAGAGAGAATGATTTAAGGGATGGAAAAAAGCAGTTGTGAGACAAACACAATGAAAGTGTTACATAGAAGAAAGGAGAGGTACTAAACATCAATTCTCTAATACATGTAGAGTTACCTATTGTAGCTGGAGACTCTATTCTTCCATTGACAATGACAAAGGGAGTAAAAGGGAATGGAATGAGATTCTCAGGAATGCTGTGGACTTTCTTTTTTTTAACTTTTATTTTAGGTTTGGGGATATATGTGAAGGTGTGTTACATAGGTAAAAGTGTGTCACAGGGGTTTGCTGCACAGATTTCAAGTGATGAAATAAGCCCAGTACCCAATAGTTATCTTTTCTGTGGACTTTTTTTTTTTTTTTTTTTGCAGAGGGCGATGGAGTCTTGCTCTGTCTCCCAGGCTGGAGTGCAGTGGCATGATCTCGGCTCACTGCAGCCTCCACCTCCCGGGTTCAAGCAATTCTCCTGTCTCAGCCTCATGAGTAGCTGTGATTACAGCTGCACACCACCATGCCTGGCTAATTTTTGTATTTTTTTAGTAGAAATGGGGTTTCGCCATACTGGCCACACTGGTCTTCAACTGCTGACCTCAGGTGATCCACCTGCCTTGGCCTTCCAAAGTGCTGGGACTACAGGCATGAGTCACTGTGACTGGCCTCTTTTCTGTGAACTTTCTAAAGGGAAAAATAGATTAACATTTATCTGGTTTAGATGCTTTGGGTATATTCTCCATGAAAGCAGCTGGCTTGACTTGCTGAATACTCTAGTTCTTCCTGCACTGCCCATTGAAGATTTACGTGTATGATATACCTGTGGCAAGAAAGACCATCAATTCAGTTTGTATTACCAAATACCTTGCTAATTTTCCTGGCCAGGCTAGTACATAGTGTCATGTGGGGTTCCCTGAGCTTAGATTACAGGCACATGATGCTGTTTTTCGGGGGCTGAACTATAGAGAAGAAGCTTGGGCATTACGTGTTATGCTTTTATTTTATAAAGTCATATTCAGACTTCAACAATGGCTTGCCCCCTGCTAACTAGGCCATTGCCCCTTGCTAACTAGGCCAGAGTCTGGTCTCATGTGCTTGCTTTCTATGGTTGTAGCTGTATGGAAAATGATGCCATGATTCTAGAAGAGTGTTCACTTAATCTTTTTATACTACCACTTTCTTTTTATAATGCGAAAAAACTTTGTGATAATAAGTAATTGTATTAATTGAACAGTTCACACATTACCACCTAGACAAGTGACTGTCTTGGCAGAGAAAATCAATCTCCATATGCCTACAGCTCCTTGGGGACCAAAATCTGGGCATCATTGGGTAGTCGAAGTTTCTTGGCTGATCTTCATGATAATGACATACATACATCTGAACAATTACCATGAGCAAGAGACACATATCCTTATAGGACCAAGTCTGGGTATAATAGCTCTGAAGACTATGGGGCACACTTCATTTTTCACCTTTCTCTCCCCAGTCTATGCTGATACAAAATCATGTTAGTGCCAATATTCTCACCTGCATGACTCCTATAGGGTTTTATGCTATGTAACTTCATGTGTACTTCCAGCTTGTCTCTTTAAATATTATGCAGTTCTACTTACATTCCCAACATATGTTATTGATTGCCTGTCCTTAGGAACCAACTCTGGGAATCTCTTTTGCTTCTAGAGCAGAAGAGAATAAAAATGACCTCTTTTTCATCCATATACAAAGGATGTTTGCTTATGTGTGTGGGTGTGGGAGTAGAATTAAAAGTACGAGTTTAGGATTTCAAGGTCTGTGAGTTATACTGCCATTAGAAGGAGAATGCCCACTTTTAGTAAATGTTTTCTGAGCGGCCAGGTTCTTCTATGCTGGAAATGACTTCCCTGAAAGTTCCAGAGGGAGCCTGGGAAATCACTGCATGTGGATGTGGCCACTGGTATTATGAAGCAAAGGGTGGAAATTCAGAATGTCACTCCCTCTCTGAAACCCTGCTTCCTCTTTGATGGGCTAGAGAACCTCCCTGCAGTGACTGCACTGATATCAGTGGATGAAGCAGACAAGGATGGTTTTAGGTAGAGGTTCTCAAAATATTTTCTTTGGACCACTTCTATTGAAACAGCTGGGGTGTCTGTTACAAACCAGATTTCTGGCCTTTGCTCCAGACCACATGAATCAGAATATCTATGGGTGGGACCAGGGCATCTCCATTTCAAAGGAGTTATTTTTCATATACAAATATCTGGGAATCATTGATCCATGGGTATTCTTAATGGAGAAAAATTAAGGTGTCATTTATTATTCTTACTTCTACTGTATATAATTAATTAGGCACAACTTTAATTGTACTCTTTTGCACATAGCAATATGTAAAACTTTTCAGTTTTCCAAGATGTTGTTAACCATGTTCATTCTTTCATGTCTGCTACTGAGTGTGGTCATGCTTTTCCAGTTTTGTGGAGCAACTGGTCAGCTTTAAAAATTCAATACCAATACTCTTTCTGCTATCAACCACCTTGGCTGCCATCAGGAGGCTCTCCTAGACTCCAAAGTAATGTGGTATTTCTCTTACTCTCTTGACAGAGAATTAACTTGGAATTGATATGGCTGTACTTTCCAGTTGGGGTGACTTCTTGGTATTATACGAGATTGTGTCAAGTCACTGTAATTCTTGATAAGATGCAGTAATGGATTAATTGGCGATTTGGAAAGTGTGGCATAATTATAATAATCACAGACTCTTTGAGAGGTGGGGTCTATGCACTTCCCATTGAATCTGAGCTTCGATAAATAAGTATGGTACCAATTATGCTATACCAGTTTCCTGGCCAAGCCAGTTTCTACTTCCTTTTTTTATGGAACTTGCTCATTAGGAGCCAACATGGACAGGCTTCCTGCCAAGATGCCAGGAATAAGAGTGAAAGCATCATGGATCTTCCAGATCAGCTCAGTCTCTGCTTAAAACCATGAAAGAACGTCAGCCTCATGGAGCAGATGAACCAAGCCCTGTCTGAATTCCTGACTTGTAAACTGTAAGAGATAATCATATAAAGAGGTATTGTTTTAAGCCTTTAAGTTATGGAGAAGTTTGTTATGCAGGAATAGATAAAGTGGAGGAAACGCGATAACTCTGTTTCCATATTAGCTTACTCTCATCTCTACAGTGGGTTTTGTTTTACCTCTGAAGAGAAAGTCAGAAAACCAGCAGCAATATTAACAATCGCCCAATGAAATAAAGTGCTAACATTATACTCACTGGAAGAACGTGAATTATGTACAACCCAAGAAAAACATATGCTTTATCTAATGAACGCAGAGCAGTTTAAGGAATGTTCTTGATTTCTAAAGCAACATACTTCCAAGTATTTAGGAGGGAAATGGATATAAATTGAGCTGAATATACAATAGAGGAAACAGACACTAAGATATTAAATAATTGCTTCAATTCTACCAAAGTGGGTCAGTAACATGTTCATACACAGAACTCAATTCCATAGACCACTGGCCTTTAAACATCTTTGATTGTGATCTATAGAAATAAATACATTTTACCCGGACCTGGTATACATATACATATAACTCTTCATGACTTACCTTTTATGCCTTACCTTTATTACATGTAATGCACTCTTAAGATTTTCTGTTTTTTTCTTTTAAAAAGCACTGGCCAAAGATACTAAATTTCATGACCCAATAATGGCTTACAGTCTACAGTATGAAAACCACTGTCCTAGACACCAAGCTTCATGGGGCCAGGGATTCCGTCCTATTCGTTACTGTGTACACAGTGCTTAGAAATTTTTGGTGTGTAGTAGGTACTCAATAATTTAATGAATGAATAAATTTCTTGATATGAAATACTTCCAACTTATTAAAATGGGAAAGTTTTTAATTGAAAGTCAGGAAATCAGGCTCAACTCTTGACTCTTGTATCACTGTATATCCTTGAGAAGTAACTTCAATTCTCAATTTTCTTACCTATAAAATAGAACTTGTGATATCTGGTACTCATGAGGATAAAATGAGTTCATGAATATAAAACTACTTTGAATAAAAGAGTAAAAATGCAAATAACAGGTGAATGTATTTGTTACTTATGCACGTTAAAATGCCAAGAGATGTTATATAAAATCTTCACTTTGTTACATGGTACTACTTCATTGATTTGTATTGATTAGGGAAATATTGCTGAAACAATGAGGTCTGAATTTAGACCTTTTTTAAAAAAAAGTTTATTTATAATTTTATTAACAAGACATTCCAACAATGTTCAAACACCTGTCTTGAAGTACTAATTGGGTCACTATCAGATTAGCATACTGAATAATAGTTTAACAGGTCTGCTGTGGTTGCAGTACATTGTTTTTATGTAGATGGATATTTCTGAATTTCTAACAAGAGACTTGATTGGAGAAAGTGCCCTTGCTATCCCTTCTGGAATTTGTTAATTCCCAGCATATGCATTAGAAAATTCTGCCATTTCTAAATTACTGAGGTCTGGATATACGCAATTTTGAATAACGTCTATGGAAGACTTATGGACTCTGCTAAATTGTTCTAATAACAAGCAAAAGTTCTGAGCTAGCAATGAGACAATTTTGCTTGGATAACCTTCTTTTTATTCTCTCTGCAAAGCCTGGCCATGAGAACTTTCCCAGCTTGCTGTCTGGAAGAGGCTGCACGATACAGTAGTTAGGTGCACTGGCTTTGAAATCATAGGAACTGACTCTAAATTCTGTTTCTGCCATTTTTAAAGTGTGTGACCCTGGGTGAGTTTCTTTACCTTAAGGGGTTGGAGCATTGAATAAGACAGCACACACATACACACATGTGTGTAAAGTATTTAGCATGGTGCCCAGCATATGAAAAACACTCAACAAATGAAAGTTCCTGTTACCTGTTGTTAATATTTTTATTAGTTATTGACAGTTCTCTCTGGGCTGGACTAGGTAGCTGTTAAGATTAGTCTGCTAAAAAGAGCTTTGTTTGCTCAAGAAATCAACATATTTCTCTAAGATCCATGGAAAACGACCTCACAGGCTTTGCCATGCCCTGAAGCTCAACTTTTGTGACACGTTGGAGTTTAGCTGGAAAGACAGGAATGTGCAGCCTATCCATGAACATGTGCTCTCAGACTGTCAGTCTTCCTTCAGTTTCCTGGGGGAAGGGCTGCCCTGTTAAATTCTGTACTTTGGTAGAGAAATTGGGGCGCTAATGTGATTGCTGACCCTGTGATGCTGAGCTATTTTGAAGTATCCTTTCTGATCAACTCGAGGCAAAATTGTGAAGCAGTCATTTGTCTCTGTCACTTTCTGTCCTCCCTTCCCCTCTCATGGTTCCAGTTCTTTTCTTCCCCCTCATCCAGTGTCAGTGAATTGCTTCTACTTCATACCACAATTTAGCTGAAAATGGCTTAAAAGGTTATCCCCTTCAGGCACATTTGTGCTTTAGAGAACTCTAAAGAATTAAATCAATGATTCTCTAAGGATAGTGTTTCAGACATTTGCAGGCCAGTAGCAGAGAGAATTAGGGACTGGGAACTATCCTAGTATCCTTCAGTTCACACTGCCTTCTAAGCTGAGAAAACATTGTGTCATTGAAGTAGGAGGAAGATCTATTCCAGCATTTTCCAAGGTGTGTTCCACGGGATGTTAGTTTTACTGTGATAAAATATTTTTAAAAGTATTTTAACTTTTAACAAAGTTAAACAGGTTTTCTTGCATAGAGATTCTCAAAACCTATAACACACTCATGTTAAAGGAAGTACTGTAAACTTCCAAGGGGGAATTAGGAATGTAGCACTTTTCATTGTATTTTATTATCTTCCCCTTTTAATTTTTCATGAAGCTCCTTTGGCATCTGTGTGACATATAATATATTTTATAAAACACCAATCTAGCCCAGTCCCCTATTTTAATTAGTAAAATGAGGCAGAAAGCAATAGAGTGACTTGTTTGAAGTTATCTATTAAATTGAGTGCAGAACAGGACGAGAGACCAGGTTATCTAACCCCACAACATGGTCAAACCCCTCACTGCAGCTATGTATTTAATGTCTTTGTTCCCTGCTAGACTGTATGTGCTGCCCAAACAGAAACTTTGACTTCTTTGCTCCTTACTGAATCCCCAGCACTTAGCACAATACCTGACTCACAGTGTTTAAATCCATACTTAGTAAAATCGAATTGAGATTGTTCATGGGGACAGACATGTGTTGCCTGTTCTTGGCAGGCTGGTCCTGACTACAATGCTATGTATGAAGGAGTTAGTGCTGAGTTCCATACTTACACTGAGAGTATGTGGTCCCAGTTCCACTGACACTGAACCTGTTGAGGTGCAGTCTGTGTGTGACAACATTCTTCTGGGGTTGAAACAGGATGATGTGAACCTTGGGTGCAAACAAACAGCCCAAGACCACAAAGCCACTCAGGCTGACAGAGATGCACATGGTTGTCGTCTGCACCTACAAGAGAAGGTTGGCTAGTAAGTGTCTGGCTGTACATTCAGTCAAGTGGCCAACTAAAGAGAGTGCTGAAATAAGACCAAAATGAAAAATCCAGAATAATTGACAGCTCTGTCCTTATTGTAGCCAAATCAATACAGTAATTATATTGAATCTTCTATGTTTGGGGTAGTCTTGGAAATATTGCTTAGGATTTGCAAGCAAACACCATTTGTGTGGGGTGCTTCTGAATGCTTGCCAAGACTTCACATGGATTTTCTTGTTTGTTTTCTTTATATTTTTATAAAGATATTTCTGCAAAGCCACAGAAGGTGGAATCTTAAATAGTAAAACATATTCAATGATGAAGTGGCCAGATTGCTGATGATTTCAGTCTATGAACTTGGCTTCTTTAAGATTTAAGGTTATTATAAACAAATTTGTTTTGTTTGTTTGTTTGTTTGTTTTTTACATTCTTCTATCTCCCTTGCTTGCTGGAAGCTCTGCCTATCAGCTACTGGTTTCCCTATTCTTTGTTGGGGATCACTGTCAGCTTTCTTCTGTGGTACCTTTGCTTTTGCTTATTGGCATCTCTGGAATTTTGATTCATCAGGTACTAACTGTTCAATCTTCATGTTCTCTAGGCTTCTATACACCCATTCTTGACAGGTAATTTTCACTTCTCCCTCTTTGTTTACCCTGAAAGTTCCTCAGAACCAGGGTTTATCATGTCTTCTCATTCTCATCCCAGAGTAACTTTAGATTTTTTTCCTTTCCCCTTAGGCACATGCTATTATAAAGTAGCATAATTTCAAATGTCCTAAATGACTTTAGGCATCTATAAAACATTTCTGTAAAGTCTCTGACCTTCCTCTCTAATCAAGGAAAGCTGAAGACTGAACACATAACTGGAGAAGCCACATAATTTTAGAATGCTTCATTTTACTTTTGATTTTTAAAAAAAATTCAGCCTGCCCTGTGGCATAATTCTTTAGGCCTTGCTTACTTTGAATCCTGAAAGCATAATCCATCCTCGTCATTTTAAAGTTCTTGTCTCTCTTAACTAGTCCAGTGCTCTCCACCTTGGGACCCCTAATTGCAGGCTCCTTTCTTGTCAAATTCTCAGAAAACAAGCTGCTATCTGATTCTGTGATGCAAAAGCCTTCATAAATCTGAATCTGGGACAATTTGTTTTCTACGTATATGTATAATATGATGTTAGCATTGTCCTCTTTCTGCCTCAGTTCCTGCCTATGACTCTGAAGCCAGTGTGAAGGATATCAGAGATCATGGGAGGGGGAGACAAATCCAAATTTGCAAAATTTCCAGGAAACCTTTTCTAAAAGCATTTCTGTAACTCTTAAAACTACTCACACACTTTAAGACATTACAAGAAGAGGTGAGGAGAGGCTTTTAGGAGGAGGGGATCTTGGGCAAAGCTGTACTGTGATTTTTGTCTCCTCGCTGAAAGCCTAGCAAGGAGTGCTTCAGTGTGGCCATTTACAAAAAGTCAGGTGTTTCTGCAGGAAGAGGATGCCCTGAATTGGGACCTGATTCCTGCCTTGGAAATCTAGAAGGTGAGGAAAAGGCTAGTTGCTCTATTGGCATTGCATAAAACTTGCTACTGTCTTGAGGTAGTCCTTTGTTCTGAGAATTTATCAAAGCAAAGGTTATGTGAATGGTATGCATGGACAAGATGGGCCACACAAAAACCATTATGCATGGTCTTGGGCTTATGTCTTGGCCTGGAGACCTTCACAGAAAGAGGCTTGGGGTAGGATAGCTGGATGCCCTGAGAATGGGAATGGAGCCACCAGAGACAAATCAAAATAGAGATCTCCCAGTCAACTCACTCAAGGTCCTGCAGGGGAAAAGGCCAGAGGGTAATTTCTAAAGATCACATGAAAGATGAAAACGCCCTCTAGTCATCTTCCAGGCATCTGAAGGATGTATCTTTCCATGTGTGGACTTAGAGATCATAAAGTCATCTAGCCACAAAGAACTGTCCAACTGCTTCCTTATTACTCTTTAATCAGCGCTGAGAGGGAAGTAGCAACTGGTGGATTGGGGAACATAAGCACCAAGGAAGATGCCAACTACTGCAGGCTCTCAGCCTAAGACAGGCCAGACCTCAGGAGGAAATGAGATTGAATGTGAAGACACAGTTTTGATCATTACATAGGACTATATATTTTAATTTCTTAATAAAGACAATTTTCAATTGAAAATGATGGTAGTACCTTATGTTACCTAAAAGCATATAAATTCATGGGCCTACCAAGGTCATGGATGTTTTTTCTCATTGTGCTATCCCCAGCACCAGAACTGAGCCTCACATGTAGTGAACATTTGGTGTTTGAATACGTGCACAGGAATTTCCATCCCAAGGTGGGGGATGATTACCCTTGCTAAATACTGAAGAGATAATGGAAGGAGCACTAAAATTGCATTTTTATCATAGTTTGTGCACCATGTTTATTCAGTATACCTGTTATAAAATTGAAATAGCTTTTATTTATTACAAAGCCCAAATATCAGTCTCATAGTTTCAGTTATCCAGTTCCTTCAGTAAGTCACACTATTAAAAGTCTGTTTTTATCTGTAATTCTGTGTTCTGACCCTTTGAATACTACCAGCTTACGATGCTCTGTTTTCATCTTTGTCGAACTCGCAGCAATGCTTGACACAGTTAATCACTTCCTTCCTTTTGGATTCCTGGACACATCTTTCCCTCAGTGGTTGTTCTTTGTCTTAGTTATCTATTCTACTTGAACTTTAAGTGCTGGAGTTCCCCAGAGCTTAGTTGTGGACTCTCTTTCTTCACCATCCCACTGAGTTTCATGGCTTAAATATTGATGATGTCCAAATCAATTATTACTGGTTTTGACCTATACTGTGGGCTTCTAGAATTAAATATTCAACTGCCACCATGACATATTCTTTTGGTAATGAAATAGGCATATCGTAATAATGTAATCAAAATTTGGTCCCTTTCCCCAAGTGTCACTGTTTAAGTGGCACCAAATGCCACCCAGTGTGCAAGCCAAAGACCATCCTTGACTTTACCATTGCCTTTACACTTACACATCCAGTCCAACAGCAAATTCTGTTGGGAAATTATTCTACATGAGCCTCTCATGTTATTTTGTGAGCAAGGCTCTGACTGCCTTTGTTCCAGAATGTCTTTTCAAGGATTTTGTGTAGCAAAGAGCTTTAGAAGATAGAGACAGTGCCTACCTCTAGAACAAAGGGCAGCATACTATTCATTATAAAAGATTCAGGTTCCCTAGTCTCAGAGTTCCTCTCCTGTGATGTAACCCACTGATGGTACAGGGGTCACCTGGACTACTTTGTGTAACCCTGTGAGAAGTGGCACTCAGGAAACCTGTGCAAATATTGACACTCTGGCTACTGCTATTGCTGTGAGTCATAAAGGTTTTTGCTAGCATTAGTAAAACTGTGGTAGGCTAACTTGTTGCCTTGTAAGTATAGTAAAATCTCAGGCACTACAGTCTTTGACAGTTTTGACAATGAGGAAGAAACGCCAACAGACACATGGCTTTTTCAGAAAGAAAATATGAGCGTTTCAGGGGCTGATTAACAGAATTTGAGGAAGTCTGTGGGAATCACTAGCAAACATGTTGACCAAATTGTATGATTAACCAAGAATAAATAGTGTTCCACTTTATTTCCTGTTAAGGAGAAGGATTTGGAGATGTGGTCGAAGTTTGAGGAACAGGAATTATGTTCAAACTCAGCTGCTAGACTGATGCCTTGGCTGTTGTTAACTCTTCTCTGGAGGGTAGAGTGGGGTGAATTTCCTCCCCATTTGGATTCAGATTCACTTGATTCTAATAACTAGTACTAACATTTGTCCTGGGTAGGCAGAAAATTCCACTCTCTTTTACACAAAAATTGCAGAGACATGTACCTTCACTGAGCATTGAGAGAGAGAGAGACTTTCAGAGAAGGTAGAAGCCAGGTGAATCATTCAAACTTTGACTGGTTTCCTTGGGAGGTTGAGACAACAAGACACATACGCTTGTTAAGGAAGAATGGCAACAGCTGGGCCCTTGAAGGATTAATCCCCAGCTGTAGTTTCTTATTCCAAACTTAGATTCATTCCAAGATGACAGTCAAAGGATTCAGAGTTTTGTTTTGTTTGTTTTTCAGTGGAACTTAGCTTTCTGGGAAGATATAGATGAGGCACTGATTTGTATTTGGGCGCTTACTCACCTGGATTGGTTTACAGTGTTGACAAAGAATGAGAAAGGTATGCAAAGAAATCTAGACAAATTCCTACCATCAGCGACAGCCCTGGAAAACTTCCCCAACCCTTATGTTAAAAGAAGGCAAGACCCTAAGAGATATTATCATGATGAGAGAGCAAATGCTCTGTTAATTTTGTATCAAAAAGAAGCAAAACACACTTGGTGTGTGAGTAAAGGCCAAATTAGTTAAGTGAACAAGCCATGAGTTCCAGCCAGAAAGCTATAGGCTCTGGCTTCTTAGTCAATGGGTCATCAAAGTTGAAGCCAATAGTGACAGTAATGATGATCTTATTTCATAATTTAGTCTTTTAGGTGCACAAAAATATTGGACCTCATATGGTTGAGCCATAGGTAGCTGCTGAGTGCTTAAAACTGAAAACAAATGTGTCTTATTTATTGGCAAGGAGCTGCTCTCTCACTGTGCTGCTCTACTCCCCTCCCCCATCCTAATTTTAGCTGATTAAGGAAAATATTACTTAAGGCTAGATTAAAATTTCCCCATCCTGAAGGGTGGGTGAAGTCCATACACACCAGACTAAGTATGCTGAGGAACTTCAGAGAGGGGAGGAACTCAAAATTTTATGCCTTGTTGGTGACAGACACCCAAATCACCATCCTAACTTATTAGGGGAAAGGTAGGGCTGGGGCTGGTGTGAAGCAAGTGAGGCACTTGCCTGAGATACAAATTTAAGGAGGCATCAAAAATGCATTAATCAAGACAATAATGCAATATTTAAAACATCAAAAATGCTAAGCCCATGATGAACACAATGTCAACTTTTTAAATAAGGATAGGATCAATAACAGCACCATGCTGTTGTATATTTGATCCTAAGGCAAAAAGAAAGTAAGTAACACTGATCCTCTTTTGAGTACTGCTTATGCAGGTGTCCTAGCCCACTCTGCGTTGCCTTGTAGAAATCAGGACGAGGCTGGGTGCAGTGGCTCTCATCAGTAATCCCAGCACTTTGGGAGGCTGAGGTGGGAAGATCACCTGAGATCAGGAGTTTGAGACCAGCCTGGCCAACATGGTGAAACCTTGTCTCTACTAAAAATACAAAAATTAGCCCAGTGTGGTGGCATGTGCCTGTAATCCCAGATATTTGGGAGACTGAGGCAGGAAAATCGCTTGAATCCAGGAGGCAGAGGTTGCCTGAACCCAAGGTCACGCCATTGCCCTCTAGCCTGGGTGACAAGAGCGAAACTCCATCTAAGAAAAAAAAAAGAAATCAGGACTCAAGGAATGTACAGAAGTGTTGATACTCTGGCTATTGCTATGGCTATGAGTAATAAAGTTCTTTGTTTCTGAATCAGGAGTCTCATGTCTTCTGACACAAGGATTCTGAAACTGTGGCAGGCTAACCTGGTAGATTGCAACAGGGTAAAAACCTTTCACAGTTCTTGACAGGTTCTACCTCTACTTCTAACCATCTCCATTGTTAACATCCTACTATGGGATGGTTCTGACCCCAGTACCCACCTCAACTTCCTAACCAGTCTCCTCATTTATGCCTTTTTGCCATGTAGTAATAGAGTCTTTACAGCAGCCTGATTTTTTCTACTAAAATGTGAGATCATAAACTCCCCTGCTTAAAAATCTTTCAGTGATTTTCCTTTCCATATAGAATAAAATCTAAACTCTTTGCTATGGCTTATAAAGTCCTACATGATTTAACTCTCCTGCCTATTTCTCATATCAAATCACTCTTCCATTTAGTCATTAAACTGTAGCCATATGCTTTTCTTTTCTAAGATATTTTTGTTTAAGAGTGTTTGAACTTGCTGTTTCATCTGCATAGCACATAGAATTCCAATGTCTGGCTGCCTCCCTTCAGTGGAATATTTTCTTCAGTGGAATATTATGAAATAGGTACCAGCAAAGTAGGGGTGACACAAATTTTTTTAAAGAATTTGAGATATATATTTTTGAATCTTCAAAATAGTCAACATGGGAAAATAGGAATTTCTTTGTAAGTATTTGAACCTTGTCAAAATTCTAGAGTCAATTCCCAAGACTCTGCCTACTCTAGGTAAATTGTTTCATCTGCTCCAACCCCCAAAAGAATCTAGAGTCTTGACACTCCAAGTATGGTCCTTAGTCTAGTAGCATCTCCATTTCCTGGGAGCTTGCTGATATCGAGATTCTTGGTCCTCATCCTTTCTTACTGAATCAGAATCTTTATTTCAACAAGATCCCCAGGTGATTTGCATGCACGTTAAAATTTGAGATAAACTGCAGTAACCCGCTTTTCAAGGTGATTTTTTAAAAATCTCATTACAGCATTCACTACTGAATAAGCCTGCATTTTCATTCATTCATTATTTATGCTCCATCTCCATCTTCACCTCATTCTCCACTAGACTGTAAGTTACAAAAGAGGAGAGACTTGCCTATGTTGATAACAGTATCTCCAAGGCCTATAATAAGTCCTCAAATATTTTTTGGAAGACATGAACAAAACACTCAGTAATTACTATAAATGAATTCCTTTATGGATAACTTTCCACTCAAACATGGCTGAATTTTTATTTACACAATTTAAGCTATGTATTAGATCCCAATGACTCAGTGTTTGATTCTTAAACTATCTGAGAATGGTTAGTTGTGATACAGCAGGAGATGACTCGGATAGTTTCTCAAAAATCCTTTGAAATTTTTTTCTGACTGAATTCCTTGTTTGCTCTGTATTGAATTCCTATAAGAGCTTCAATTAGTCCTCCTTGATTTAGACTCTACCCTTTCAAATCCGTCCTTCATATTATGGATGCGTCTGTGGTACAGTATGAAGGGCATGGATTTGAATCAGAAAAACTACTATTTCATAACTGTGCCACCTGGGAAGGTCATTATGCTCTGTTTACTCATCTTTCTAATGGATAATAAAATTTACTTCCAAATTTTATCAAAATGAAGATAAGTGAGCTCATGTACTTAAAGCATCTAGCAGAGTCAGTTGATCAGGAAGGTTTGTTTCCCTCTTGCCTTTCATCATGTCACTTTTTTGCCCAAGCAAATAACCAAAACAAAACAAACTTAAGATCTCAAAGCCCTTAAACATTATCTAAATGAACCAGCCCTGCCCCCGGCCCATTTTCCAACTGAGTAAGACTGATATGGCTTCCTTCTGGTTGGTTCTTTCCTGTCCTGTCTCCAGAATATTCCCTATATTCTCTAAATACCTTAGTTGCATTTGCCTGCCAAGGTTACGGGGTAAAAATCCCATCTTCAAGAAGTGATCCTGGAAAGATCATGATGTTACCCATATAACTCTTATGGAGCCCACAGGTATTTAGAGTTTATATCATCAATTTAATTATAAACTATTCTGTGTTTATAATTCTTGAATTCTTTCTTGTTTAATATCTTTCTTCCAGCTGAGATATAAACTTTGTGAAGACTGGAATCATGCCTTATGTTTATTTATAACTCACAATGGGTGGCAAAGTACTGAGATATAAACCTTGTTGACTGATGCTCAAAATTTTTTCAGCTGCTCTTAAATTATTGCTGCTAATTCTGTCCGAACCACACGATTTTCCTCTGGGAAATTTTAAATCTCAGTCTTGTTCTGGAATTTCTAGAGCAAGGTTCCCAAGTTCAAATGCTTATAGGGTCTATGAAAGTTCATAAGTGAAAGGGACCAGGTGTGAGAATTCAGAGATCAGTGGGAGATAGGGGCAACAGGAATAAGAGTGCTCTGTCTTCAGGGGTGAGCACTACTCAGGTCCAGCTAATTGTTGAGTATGGGAATTTGGGCTTACGTTTTTACTTTGTTAAGAAAAACCAAGAATCTGGATATTTATGTAAAGTTTCTCAAGTTTCTAACTTTGACAACTATTTCAAAACAGTACAGGCAAAACTAGACATATTGGTGGGATAAGAAGAGCATGTGATTTATTAGAGCTGAGGGTTTCAATCCTGGCTGCAAATCAGAGTTACCTGGGAAGCTTTGAAAAATCCTGATGCCCAAGCCACAGGCCAGGCCAATTAAATCAGAATCTCTGAGGCTGTGTCCCAGGTATCAATATTTTTTTAATGCTACACAGTTGATTCAATATGCAGCCAAATTTGAAAACCACTACATTGGAGGCTTCAGTCTACCTTTCTCATTTCTTTTGTAAACTTAGGATTGGCATTATTTCTGAGACTTTAAATGATCTTAGCATCACTGGATACCTTAATTATCACGGACCTTAAAAAACTCTATTCCACAACCTCTGTCCCATTTCATTTGCCTTATGACTTCTTCTATGTGGTGAAAGTTCTGGTGTCTTCAGCTAATTCCATTCAGTCAGTTGTTCTACTCTATTGCTATCATGTAAAGAAGAAAGTCATTTTTTGTGTGTCTTAGAAGTAAATGCTAATTCACTCAATAAAATTAAATTTTTATAATGTTATTTATGTTTATTCTCAGTAGTATTTTCTGCTCTGTCATTTTTTTAACCAGCTCTTTTGAGAATGAAGAGTTTCAAATCATATGTCCAGGACAAAATAATTAGTATTATAACTACTTTGCAGTCCCAGTACTCCAAATCATGTCTGCTAACAGTGGCTTCCTAAAAACTTAAAAAAAAATCCTACAGATATATGGGACTAGATGTATATATAAAGACAAAAGATAGAGATGGGGCATTACAATACATTAACTATAGTTCTCCATGTTAATCCTCAAATTCTAACACTCCAACTCCCCTGTAGTTCATATACTCCACTCTTTGACTTTGCCGATCAGCTCTGATGTTTCCTCTTTTTAAAATTTTCCAAAATTTTTATAGGTAGTCTTGCCCCACAACATTGAACTTACCTTCTTCATCTTTATTGTTCATCCCTTAATGTAGCCCATAGGTTTCAGTTACATAGTTGTGAATAATTTACAGCGAATAGATACAATATACTTTGCCAACATCTTGATTCCAAGCTTTAAACAGATTTGCCTTTTTTTAACAAAAGTATTTATCTATTTTAATTCGCAAAGAACAATTGTATACATTTATGTACAACATGATGTTTTAAACATGTATACATTGTGGAATGGGTAAATAGAGCTAATTAACATATGCATTACTTCACATACTTACCATTTTTTATGCTAAAAGCTCTTAGAAATTGACCCTCAGTGATTTTTAAGAATACAATGTAGTCACCATGTTATACAACAGACCTCTTGAATTATTCTTCCTATCTAACTGAAATTTTGTATCTACTCTGTCTTCTTTTTGGGCTGCAATTTTCTAGATTTTGGCGATGTAGGAATTGCTGGTAAACAGCAGATTTGAGGATTTTTACAACTGATGGAGGCACTTCATTTTGTGAAATCATGGTGCAGCAAGTAAACCATTATGCTTCTGGAAAACTTTAATCTCTGACAATTTAAGAAACATAGAGAATAAAAAACAAATACCTGAAGAGAGAAACATTCTTATACTCACTCATTGTAAGATACTGAAATCAGAATTATAAAATGCTACATTTTATGTAGCATTTTAACAGTTTGGAATATTATAATGGAATGAAGAAGTTTCTTTCAAAAGAGATGGTAATTATAAGGGAGCCCATAAATTTGAACTGTATATTACTAATACCCTATTATATGTTAATTAGGTTACCTGGATATGTACAGTAAAATTTTTAACTAGTTAAAGAAAAATATATATGTACATATAACTAAAGCTATAGAAAAGACATAGCAAATTAACATTGTATTTTAATCTGTTTTAGAGAAATAATGAAGCATGAGTGAAAGTTTCTATCTTTAAACTTATCCTGGCTTAATATTGCAAGTGTATTTTAATTTACAGATTGATCCATGGTAGCCGAGTCCTCCTATATCTAATTTAAAGTATTCTCAAATAGATTCACAATTAGATTCTTAGTTTATGTCTTATTCTATTGTCAATCGCTTTTTAAGTTTAATTAACATTATGTGTACGTGTATTACATTTTATCTCCCACTAGATTATAAATTGGGTAAATGACCGTATCATTTATATTTCTCTTCCCCTCTGTGCCTAGCACAGTGCTCTGCATGTGGTAGGTACTAATTAAATGCTATCTACATACATAATTAATTTTAACATACAATATACAGGCTCATCATGGCATTTGAAATTACCCAACTCGTTGAGATGAAATAAAAGGAGTCTATTTTAAATACTACACAAGAAACACTGGAGGAGAAAGAACAAGAAAAATAAGAAACAATCAAAGACTTACTCTGTAGTCACTTGATGTCACATAAAATATAGGGAGGAAGGCCAACCAGATGATGCACGTGGTGTACATGGTAAAACCTATGAACTTAGCTTCGTTGAAATTTTCTGGGCACTTCCGCGTTTTGAAGGCGTACACAGTGCATAAGATCACCAGGATCACATCGTAGGTAAGAGAGATCAACATGCTGGAATCTTTGACATTGCATTTTAGGATGACTGTTTCCCGCTTCTCTGCAAGGGTATACCTCCTGGTGCCTGGGGCCTCCAGGATGAGCCACACAGACACCATCACAATTTGCACCAGGATCAGACCCAGGCAGATGAAAACCTGAGAACTGGGGCTGATGAATTTTGGCCTCTGAGCGCCATTCTTGACCCCATCGAAGATGCGGGCAATGCAGTTTGTCTTGGTCAGCAGGGCTGAGTAACAGATAGCGAAGGAACTCCCCAGCCCGAGTCGGCGCAATGCACAGATGACTGGTGATGGCTTGGCAATGAAGAAGAATGTCATGCAGTATGACAGGCCAACCCCAAACAATAAGATGTAGCAGAGTTCTCGGCCCGATGCTTTGACCAAGGGTGTGTTGTTGTGCTTGATAAAAACAGTTACAACCATGCATGTACACATAAAACCCAGACAGGCAATGGTGACTGGGCCAATGGCCCAGGCGTCTTCCCACCTGATGTAGTCCTCAGGAAGGTCATAGCATCCAGTTAGGTCTGCAGTGGGCCACTGTCCAGACCCACAATCCATACAGGTAAACTCATCAGCCAGGTATTCGTAGGGTTCACAGGGGATGCAAATCCAGCAGCAGACATCCCCTGGTTGCATATTCTTCATTTCATTGGGGGCACAGGGGTCGCTGCACTGGGAAGTGGGGACTGAGTTCCGGGACCAGTGGATAGAGTTGACATCTAGCGATAAGGTTTCTGCCCAGTGACCAACTTTCAAGTAGGAATACTTTCCACCTACATTTTGGAAATTGAACACGTTGTATCGCCCCATTCCATCTCCAAAAGTGTCAAACTTGACTATGCTATCTGCATCTTTATTTGGGTTGAATGGAGCTGTGATATGTAAAGTGAAAGAAAAAAAAGAACACTTGTTTAGGTGTCTTACGTGTGATTAGTCAATTACTTTATGCCATACACTGAAATAACAGGAAATGGTGATTCCAAGGCTGAAATAATTTATCAGTTACCATTGAAAGTTACACTTCAAAAGCTACTAAAGTGCTCATGCATTTATACATTCATTCACTTACCATTACTGAGTATCAAAGGGTGCCAAGTACCGGTGATAATCATGAATACAATACAATGCTTATTATGTAATGGGGGATTTACAAACATGTAGTCATATGTTTTATGATGGGCATGTATTCCCTTCTTGAAAGACTTCATGATAAGAATTGGACAAAACATTGTGTCTCATTCTTATTACGTATTTATTTATGTACAGCCAATAAAATGTTTCCCATCTTAAATATTTTCATGAAAATATAAAACAGGAAGAATTTTTCTGCTTCAAAATAAAGAACATTTTTTGCATTACAGATGCATGATATGATTCTTTTCAATAGTTCAGATGATTCAGAAAGAAAAAAATTAAACTACCTATCATACTTCAACTCTGATAGTTTAATATTTTGGATATTAAATTTAATATTGACATTAATTCTGACTACATATATGCCTGTGTCTATATACAGCATGCTCATATTCACACAAATACATACAACCTAGCTGTATGTAGAATCTACGTAAGTAGACTTTGAAATTTCCTAAGTGAACAGGGTCAGTAGCACTCAGCCAAGTGGGCCACCCTCAACCCTGTCTCTTTTTTACAGGATTCTGCAAGTCCCTAAGAGCAGAAGCTCTGAGCATACATGCTTCCTCTCTTCCAGCTGCTGCTCATCATGTTTGTCTTGCCAACATACACCACCCCTCTGATCACCCATTTCTATGCCACGTACTCTGTTCTACTACTGTGTGCTTCTATTTCACTGCCAATCTTTACTCTTTTCTTAGAATTAGAAGACAAATGTTGCTGATACCTATGTGACACATAGAGAAACTCTGTTACTCATGGTAGGCTTGCCTGTGTTGGTAAATAGACCCCAAATTGTTTATTTCTCCCTCATGTAGCAGTCTAAGATTTTGGTTGCTGGGTGTCTGTCCTTCACATTGTGATTCAAAACCCCAGATTCCTTCCATCTTGAAGCTGTGCCACTGCTTAGTGAAGCTGTGCCCCTGCCTAGGCCCTCCTCTTCATCAGCATCCACCCAGCAGAAGCAGATAGTATAAATATGGCACATATTTCCATTCATACTTCATTGATTAGAAATTAGTCACAGGGACACACTCAACCTTAAAAGAGGCTGTAAAAATGTAGCTTAGCTAATGTGCTCAGCTACTTCCATACTATGGAAAGAGATTGGAATTTAGAGGACGCTGCAGTGTCTGACCCTGTGAGTATTGGCTGTCTTTGTTGCCTCCCCTGCGAGCTTCATTCCACCTTCTCTGAGGCTCAGGCTGCTCTAACTTACAGGGAAACGCTGTCCAGGAAACACTGTTTAGGGAAAACTGGATCCAGTTATTGTATGGGCTAAAAGGATCCTTCAATGAATTACTTGGGCTCTTGGTAAAAAGAGGACTTTATATTTTACAAAATAGCCCTCTCTTGTCTAAAGGATATAGGTGCCCCTAGAGGGCTGGGCTGGGTAGTTTATAATAAAACCTCATACCAGAATCAAGTTCTATTATAAATATTATATGCCCAATTTATTATTCACTTATTGTTATTTGTTTCTTTGTAGTGTTCTTGTTATCTCACCCTACAATTTGACTTTACCAACCTCCACCTCCTTTCTACCACACTTCACAAACCCATCACATATATCTCTTTGTGTCTGTACTCCAGTTGTGAATTGGTTTCAAGTTCATTGTAACACAGGGTGATGTAGTAGTTGAGTGTGTAGTTTTGGGGTTAGATGGACTTTGTGTGATTCTCGTTTCTGTCTTTTAATAATTGTGTGTCCTTCAGCAAGGACCTTTCTGACTCTGTTTCCTAATTTGCAAATTGGGAATAAGAGTTCTTTTGACGATTTGATGAGATAAATCATATAACATGTTAAGCACAATGCCTGCCACACAGTAAGCACTTAACATATGTGTTAGTGATAATGATAATAAAAGTAATAAAAAGAACTTCATGAAAAAGGAAAGCTGCTCATAAAAGTGAGAACTACTGAGGGACAGGGAGGGAGAAGATGGGAGGAGGGAGATGTTATTCAATTCTACCTACTGCTTTATCCAAACCTCACTTCTGACCCAATTCAGAGCCTGCTCCTCCATCCTTTTCCCCACACTTCCATTAGTAGGCATGATTATACTTAGCTATTGTTTTGTAATGTATATTTTTACTTAGTGAAATATTGAGAATTTTTTAAAAAATTAATCTTTTAATAAATTATCTTTATTTTCAATAGCTGTATACTATTATCTTGTAGCTAAGTACCAAGCTACTTAAATATTCTTATAGTTTTAACATTTATGTTGTTTCTAAGGTTTTCCCTTTATAAACCTCATTATCTAGTTATTTACTTAGAGCAAATTCATAGAAGAAAAACTGTTGGGTCAAAGCGTAGGTTCTTTAAAAATTTAGCTACAGATTACTGGCTTGCCAAGGAAAGCTGTTTTTTGTTTGTTGTTTGGTTTTGTTTTACCAACTAATACTCCCATGAACATTGTATGGGAATGTCCATTCTCCACAATCTTACTAACCTTGGGTATTTTTATCTTTTTAATAATTGACAAACTGACAGGAAACACATCTTATTTTAATCTGTATTTATTTCTTTGACTTTTAGAGGGTCTGGTTGTATCTTAATATTTTTAAAAATTATATGTATTTATTTTGTGAATTTCTGGTTCACACATTTTTCGCTTGTTTTCTTTTGGGATGTTTATATGTTTTTAAAAATTAATATGTAGGCCAGGTGTGATGGCTCATATCTGTTATCCCAGCATTTTGGGAGGCTGAGGTAGGTGGATCGCTTGAGCTCAGGAGTTCAGGACCAGCCTGGGCAATGTGATGAAACCTCATCTCTACCAAAAATACAAAAAGTTAGCAGGGTGTAGTGGCACATGCCTGTGTTCCCAGCTACTCAGGAGGCTGAGGTGGGAGGATCACTTAAGTCTGGGAGGCAGAGGTTGCAGTGAGCCAAGATTGTGTCACTGTACTCCAACCTGAGTGACAGAGTGAGATCCCATCTCAAAATTAAAAAAGTAAGAGCTGTATATAAACTGAACATATTAAATGCTTGTCATATATGTATATATATATGTTGGAAAGATTCTTCTAACTTTGTGCTTTTTCCCAAACAGATTGCTAAAACCTTAGGTAACTGATTCTATCCATCTCTTTCTTATAACTACTAGTTTACTTATCAGTCCAAAAAATCCTTTCCTACTCCAAGATTATTAAAATATTTATCTAAACCTTTTTCTACTACTTTTATGGCTTTCCTTTTTATATTCAAAAATTTAATGCACTTCAAATTTACTTTAAAGTATGAGTTAGGATTTCAATTCATTTTTTTTCTCAAATGGCTAACAATTTAAATACTAAATAATAAAATATCGTACACCTTTTAAAATGTATATTACCATACAATAATTTATAAGTGAAAATTATAAAGTACTAAGTTAATAATTTTCCACTGATTTATAATACTTGTCATATATTAAATCCCCTGATACCCAAATTTTTATACCATTTCTTGTTTCTCTTGGTCTCTTTCCACAGTTGTATGGTCATTTTATAACTACCACAGTATTATACTAAATTTTAGTATTGGTTAGGACAAGTGAACACAGGAGTTGAAACATTATTACTATATTTTCAGGTATAGTAATCAATATCAGAATTCTTATGTCACATAAAACTAAATTTGTTTATTCTATGATTAGAGAAAGTTCATTAAGAATTTTAGGAACTCCTTTCATGTTACAAATAAGAAAAATATTGAATATTTTAACTCATTTGATATCAGATGTAAGAATAAGAACCCTCAGGTTCTTACTGTGTTATTAATTTCATTATTATCAAGTATGCACCCAACCTCTACCAATGTTCAGTTGATGTTATTAGATAATTTCTGGTAAGCACTTCTAAAGTAATATGTTTTATATCTTTAAATAATTCACTGTTCTCATAGCAATTTTTGAATATAAAGTTCTTAAAATTAGTGTACTTAACAAACAATAAAACTGATTGAAAGAGACTAAAACAACCAGAAAATAAAAAAAAAAAAAAATGGAGAAAGCAGAGCAGTGCAGGATGTGAAGTCAAAGTCTTCAAAACAATATGCTCAAGAGAGATAAGTGAAGATATTGCATCCATGAGGTAGGCACAAGATATCCTTAAAATGAATATTCAGGGAACAAGAATGAGCTTTTGGAAGGCAAATAGCAGAAATAGAATTAACATAAAGACTGAAAGATAAATTTGAGAAAAATCTCAAAGTTTGACCAAAATGCTGTGATGGCAAGTAGAAAATACAACAGGAAAAGAATTACTCTGTGGAATTTCAACATGTAACCAACAAGAGTTCCAGAAAGAGAAAATGGAGAGTAAACATTATTGAAAGGCAAAGTGAACACCAGTGAAGAGTAGACTTAGCTTGGGGAAGGATGAAGCAAGAAACTTTTCTGATTTCTTATAAGTGTGTTTATATTCCTGTAAAAACTATGTACATGTATTATTTTGATAAAAAAGAAATTATAAAGTTAAAATAGTATAAAGATAATTAAGCAAGGTCAGGCAGAGTAGCTTTAAAGTAAATAAATTACAAAAATAATGCTGCTACAAATATTGGAACAACTGCTTGAAAAGTGGGTGGTGAATAAACAAATGCTACTTTTGGTGGAATGTTATTTTTTAATACATTTACCTTTTACTAAATTTGTTTTGTTAATGTGTAAAATATGTAACAAAATTCAGTCTAGTTTCTACATCCTTCAAATACATAAAACAAATTACTTCAAATGCATACATTACAAATTCTAAACAAAAAAAAGCCATTTTGAGAAGAAATGCTCTGCTCCTTAGCTTGTAATAAAGATCCTTAGGTTGCTCTGTCTGTACTAGAATGGGAAAGAATGAAATAAGAACCAAGAAGAAAAAGGTGAACCACATATGTCAAATATTCCACATGTGAGAAAAAATCCTGTCCTTGAACGGTTATTTCGAACGCAATGGCAATATTGACCTGGGTAATGAGGAAGCAAGTAAGAAAAGCAAGCTCTTAGGTGCTGCTGGAGTGGCTTCAAGTGGCAGAGAGCTTGAAGCCCTAGTGTATTGATCCTGTTGCCTTCCTGGTGCATTTAGAGTTGCCTCTAAGTCAAATGACTCACTAGGAAAATAGAACCCTGTGAACTGAAACCATGATTCTCCAACAATCAGTTGTATAGTTCTTTTTTTTCTTTATTATTATTATTATTATTATCATACTTTAAGTTTTAGGGTACATGTGCACAATGTGCAGGTTAGTTACATATGTATACACGTGCCATGCTGGTGCGCTGCACCCACTAACACGTCATCTAGCATTAGGTATATCTCCCAGTGCTATCCCTCCCCCCTCCCCCCACCCCACAACAGTCCCCAGAGTGTGATGTTCCCCTTCCTGTGTCCATGTGTTCTCATTGTTCAATTCCCACCTGTGAGTGAGAATATGCATAGTTCTTTGGCGTGAAGAAACTCCAGGGAATTTGCTGTTTCTCAAGTTAAGTCTCACCATGGGAGTAAGCATCATCAGAAATGGAAAAATACATCACTTCACCTTTCACTGGTGTTGCAACAGCATGAAAGAAACCAAACTAGAAGGGGAAGAAAAAGAACAACCAGGAAGATGGAAGAATTTTTTATAAAAGACTTACAACCTTCTCCAAACTCTAATTTCAAGCTCCTCATCACTCGGGTGCTTCAAAATCAGGTCTTCACTTTCAGAAGGAGTCGGATGTGGCTTTGGGTCAGGAGAATCATTTCTCGGGTTAGCTTATTATCCAATTAGTTCTGACCCCAGTTTCGAATGGGAACTTGGCTTGAATACCAAGGTGACCAGTCCTCCTAGGAATCATTTGGTAGAGAGGCAGCAAGTCTATACCTTAAAGATATCATAAGTCAATGGCAGGAGAGATTAAATTCATTATTTTTTTCTTCTCAGACAGAAGTCCAATTAAGGTAAGAGAATAGTGTGGCTCTTAGGCCTTCAGTAAAGGGAATATTACCTCCACTGCTTGGGTTCGCATTCATAAACACTGATAAAGATTGCAAAAGCTACTAGCAGTGGCCGGGCGCAGTGGCTGACTCCTGTAATCCCAGCATTTTGGGAGGCTGAGACAGGCGGATCATCTGAGGTCAGGAGTTCAAGACCAGCCTGGACAAAATGGTGAAGCCCCTGTCTCTACTAAAAATACAAAACATTACCTGGATGTGGTGGCACACCTGTAGTCCCAGCTCCTTGGGAGGCTGAGGCAGAAGAATCGCTTGAACCCGGGAGGCAGGGGTTGCAGTGAGCTGAGATCGCGCCATTGCACTCCAGCCTGGGCAACAAGAGTGAAACTCCAACTCAAAAAAAAAAAAAAAAAAAAAAGGCTACAAGCAGGAACATGGCTCCAATTTTACAACCAGGGCCTCATTAATGTTTCTGTGAACTAATCTGATGAATCAGAATTAAGATATAGGTGAAAGACAGTGTCATCTCCCTGGAAAGACTATGTTAGAAGTCAAGAGGTAAAGAAACCAAAATCCTTTGGTTAGAGCAAACAAAATATTTTACGAACCTCATGCAGCAAGAAGATAGGAAAGAATAAGAATGAATCACTGGCTGTCAGTAATTAGTTTACTTACTGATTAGGAACAAAATCACTGAAGCCTTTCTCACAGTCATCAGCTGAGTATAACAGCTGGGACAAAGCACCACTTAGATGTCTTCAGTACTCAGTCTTACGTGTGGAAAACACTCAGTAAATACGTAACATGCCACAGAGAAAGTGAATGTTTGAGAAAAGATACTAAAATAGCTTTTTTTTTTTTTTTTTTTTTAACGGTGCTATGACTTTTGAAGAGGACTCTCTTCAGTTCCCTTGAAATGTTACCATGGTTAGTCTTCATTATAAATTTTACTGGTTTTTCTATCTAGATTCTACGTATTATTGTTGAAATTGTCAATACTCTAGGCAACTCAGAAACAATCTACTCTCAGACTAAGAAGGAAGAATGGGGAGGTAGGGGCATAGGGAAAATAGAAATGAGTGGAAATTATGGAGATTCCAATCCTCCTACCCGCAATTCAGGGGACAGGGCTAACCTGATTTATTTGAGCTGAAAGTCCATAGTGGTCATTGAATCTTTGCTTAGGGACCTTCTTTAATGTGAACTACAGATACTATCACATTTTTTTCCTACCTTCTTTTCCCCAACTCTTGCCCTCTTCATTACACAGTGTACTGCTTTTTTCTCATCTGCTCTAATAAGTGTTTAGATTTGTAAAAATTTTCATTGAGTTTTAATGCATACAAAAAAAAGCATTTTGAAAAAGTGGGTTATCATGAAGTGAACACACACATGTAACACTGTGACTGTTAAGAAACAGAGCATTACCAGTTCCCTTGTTCCCGTCCCTATCATTCCACCCTTCCTCAGCCCCAAAGGCAATCACTATCTTACTTTCTACAACCATTGTATTAGTGTATTAGGGCTGCCATAACGAAGTACCACAAACTGAGTGGCTTGAGATGACAGAAGTTTATTGTCTCATGGTCTGCCTGAAATCAAGGTGTCAGCAAGGTTTGTTTCTTCTGAGGACTGTGAGGGAGAATCTCTCCCATGCCTCTCTCTTAGCTCCTGGTGGTATGCCGGCAATCTTCGGTGTTCCTTGGCTTGTTAATGCATTACTCTGATCTTCCACATTCACACAGTGTTCTCCTTGTGTCTCTGTGTTTATATTTTCCCTTTTTGTAAGAACACCAGCCATATTGGACTGGGGCCCACCCTAATGACCTTATTTTAACTTGGTTACCTGTATAAGCACTATTTCCAAATAAGGTCATATTGTGAGATACTAGGGTTATGACTTCAAAATATCTCTTTTTGGGGAACACAATTCAACTCATAACAACCACAGACTATTTTGCCTGATATTGAACTTTATATTAATGTAAGTATGTATTATTTTGTATCTAACATCTTTTGTTCAAAATTAAGCTTTATGAAATTCATTCATCATGTAGTGATGAGGAGCTCTAGTTTATTTTTATTGATGCATAGTATTTTATCATATGATGTGCCACAATTTATCCATTCTTTTGTTGATGGACATTTTTAAAAAAATTTTCTTTCAATTTTTAACTTATATAAACAATGTTCTATCTTTAGCTGGGTTATCCTAGAAGCAAACCCCAAGACTAAATTTGAATTCACGTAGTTGATTTGGGAGGTTATAGGGCAATGGAGAAATAAGACAAACAGGAATGAATCCAATACAGGATGTGTCAGTGACCAAGTTACTGCTGAGGGCAAGTGGGTCTCAGCCTCACTGGGGCCTTGTGGGAGACAGTGGAGTGGAAATTGGGACATAAAACCCCAGCTTACTCATCAGCTTGGATGGGACAACTCTCATTTGTCATTGGTTTATGGTAGAGTGGTAACTTCATGGCATTTTTGGTATGTTCTCTATAGGTAGAGGCTGTCTGACCAGACAAAGCTCTCTGGCAGAGAGTCACAGATACTTCTATTGAGAAGCCATTGGCATGTCTGAGAATAGTGAGTGGTAAGAAGATACAAGTGAGGCACTGACAGCATTTTCTACATGCTACCTTGAAGACTCTTGTATATAAATTTTGGGATATACATATATAAGCATAGCTCATTTTATTGTACTTTGCTTTATTGTGCTTCACAGATATTCCTTTTTTGTTTTGTTTTACAAATTGGAAGTTTGTAGCAACCCTGCATCGAACAAGTCTATCAGTACCATTTTTCCAACAGCATGCTCTCACTTCATGTGTCTGTGTCACTTTCTGGCAACTCCTCTTGCAATATTTCAACTTTTTCATTATTATTATATCTGTAATAGTGATCTGTGATCAGTGATCTTTGATGCTATTATTATAAATGTTTTCAGGTGCCGCAAACTGTACCCAGGTCAGATGGTGATCTTAATAAATGTTGTGATTGCTGATTCTGATTGCTTCACTGACTGGCCATTCCCCTATCTCTCTCCATCACCTCAGGCCTCCTATTCCCTGAGACACAACAATATTTACATTAGGCCAATTAATGACCTTATGATGGTCTATAAGTGTTCAAGTGAAAGAAAGAATCACTTAAAGTCAAAAGCTAGAGACGATTAAGCTTAGGAAGGCATGTTGAAAGCTGAGATAAGCTCAAAACTAGCCCTCTTGCACCAGTTAAGCAAGTTGTGAATGCAAAAGAAAAGTTCTTGAAGGAAATTAAAAGCACAACTCCAGCAAGCACACAAATGGTAAGAAAGTGAAAGAGTCTTATTGCTGATATGGAGAAAGTTTTACTTGTCTGGATAGAACATCAAATCAGACGCAAGATTCCCTTAAACCAAAGCCTAATCCAGCTCAAGGTCCTAATTATCTTCAATTATTTGAAGTCTGAGAAAGCTGAGGAATTGCAGAAGAAAAAGCTAGGAGAGGATGGTTCATGAGACTTTGAAGGGCTCAAGACTTCAGTGGAGGAAGTCACTGCAGATGAGGTGGAAATGGCAAGAGAACCAGAATTAGAAGTGGAGCCTGAAGATGTGGCTGAATTGCTGCAAACTAAATGATCAAACTAAAACAGATGAGGGGTTGCTTTTTATGGATGAGCAAAGAAAGTGGTTTCATGAGATAGAATCCACACCTGGTGAAGAAGCCGTGAACGTTGTTGAAATGACAAGAGAGGATTTAGAATATTACATAAACTTAGTTGATAAAGCAGTGGCAGGATTTGAGAGAACTGACTCCAATTTTGAAAGTTCTATTGTGGGTAAAATGCTGTCAAACAGCATCACACGCTACAGAGAAATCTTGTGAAAGGAAGATTCAATTATTGTGGCAAACTTCCTTGTTTTCTTATTTTCAGAAACTGCCACAGTCACCTCAGTCTTCAGCAACCACCACCCTAATCAGTCAGCAGCCATCAACACTGAGGCAAGACCGTCAATCAGCAAAAAGAGTATGGCTTGCTAAAGGCTGGGATGATTGTTAGCATTTTTTAGCAATAAAGTATTGTTAAATTAAGGTATATACATTGTTTTTAATACATAATGCTACTGTACACTTAATAAACTACAGTATAGTGTAAATATAACTTTTATATGCACTGGAAACCAAAAAACTTATGTAACTTGCTTTATCGTGAATTTTGCTTTATTGCAATGGCCTAGAACTGAATGTAAAATATTTCTGAAATATGCCTATATGTGTATGTGCAAAAGTGTGTATATAGTGTGTATGTATTTGTATATAATAGTAAATTGTATGTGAGTTTCAGTTGCTTCATATGCTTCATAATGATGTCATTTAATTTTAGATATTTGAGTGAAAATGTACCGGTATCTCGTTGTGATTTTTTTGGTAGTTAATTTGCATTCCCCAATGCCTAATAATATTGAGCACCTTTTCATAAGTCAATCAAATGTCTATAAATACCCTTTTATAAAGTACCTTTTCCAGTCCACTTGTATTGGATTTTTTTTTTTTTTTTTTTTTTTTTTGATACGGAGTTCTGCTCAGTCGCCCAGGCTGTAGTGCAGTGGCACGATCTCGGCTCACTGCAAGCTCTGCCTCCCGGGTTCACACCATTCTCCCGCCTCAGCCTCCCGAGTACCTGGGACTACAGGTGCCTGCCACCACGCCCAGCTAATTTTTTGTATTTTTAGTAGAGACAGGGTTTCACCGTGTTAGCCAGGATGGTCTCCATCTCCTGACCTTGTGTTCCGCCCGCCTTGGCCTCCCAAAGTGCTGGGGTTACAGGTGTGAGCCACCGCACCGGCCTGGATTTTTCTCTCTTTTAAAAATTTGACAGTGGGCGTGGTGGCTCATGCCTGTAATCCCAGCACTTTGGGAGGTGGATCGCCTGAGGTCAGGAGTTTGAGACCAGCCTGGCCAACATAGTGAAACTTCTTCTCTACTAAAAATACTAAAATTAGCTGGCCATGGTGGTGGGCGCCTGTAATAACAGCTACTCGGGAGGCTGGGGCAGGAGAATCGCTTGAATGCGGGAGGCAGAGGTTGCAATGAGCCGAGATAGGGCCATTGCACTCCAGCCTGGGGGACAAGAGCAAAACTCTGTCTCAAAAAAAAAAAAAGTGATTTATATGAGTTTTTTATATTTTCCAGATATGACTACTTTTCAGATATATGTGTTGTGAATATCTACTCTGTGGCTTACCTTTTCACCTGCTTCTTAGTTTTGTCCAATAAACATAAATTCTAAAATTTAATGCCCAGTACAGTCTTTAGTTTTAATGCCCCTAAATTCTTAATTTTAATGCCAATTTCCAATTTATGAATTATTTACTTTATGGCTAAGACTTTCAGCATTCTGTTTAAGAAATCTTTACCTATTTCAAGATTACAAATATATAATTCTAAAATGTGAGGATTTCAGGTACTGAAAAACATTTCAGAAGAATATTGTATCTTTAAGGTATCAGCTCTCCTTTTGTGCTGACATAGTGTATTGTGCGTTTGACCTTAAGGAAATGGACTATAATATGTTGGAAAAATATTCAGTGTGTGCCCATCTCTTTGCTATTCCTAAGCCTCTCCAGAACAGGGATGATTTCTCATTCAACTTTGTACTCTCATTAAGGAACACTGGACACATTGTTTCCTAAACAATTAGACTTATTAGAATCATCTCAGGAACTTAAAAATCATGCTAATGCCTGAGTCATAATACCGGCCAATTAAATGTGAATCTTAAGGGCCTTGACACTTGCATATATTATTATGTAGCCAAGGGGGCGGGGGAATTGCAGCCTCTAGCAGGTGAGGCCAGGGATGTTGCTGAACATCCCATAATATGCAAGACACACCTTCAGAACAAATACATACCTGGCCCAAAATGTCAATAGTGCTGAAGTTGAGAAACCTTGGTCTAGGGTAATAAATATTTGTATTTCTACATATATTTTGAAAAGCTCAACCCTTTATGAAAATGGAAAATATCTATGCCTGATAAATTCCTTATGGTGTCACCATATTAAGGTTACTATTACCTAGTCTTGTTTTCTCACTATAGTCATTTCCAGCTTATACACTTCCTTGAATATGTGGAGTCCTCTCCTTTCCCCGTTCATCAGCCGTTTCAATTATGTTTCATTCCTCCCACCTTACCCCAACAGTCACTACAGGCCCATTACACACAGATTTTCACAGTCTCCTTTTCTCCCCTTTTAAGAAACCAGTCAGCCAGCTGCACATCTCCTCTTCAATCAGCTCTTAGGAAAGAAGCAAATTCTTGTCTGCAGCAGGAGCAGGAGATATATAGTCTTCTAGAGCTAACTCACAAGCAAGAATGTCTGTTATTAGTGAGAGTTAAGTGGGGTCTGAATGCAAATTTTCTCCCATTTAATTTCTATCCCCAGCACAAACCGGAGCGCCCAAGAATACTATGTGACTTTGCAACAGTCTCCAAAATTTTCCGATTTTGTGAAGATAAATTGTGAATTCTGATGACCAATTTAATCTGTTCTTGTTTTTTAATGTGACTGTCATATAGTACAGCAAAGATTTTAAAATGTCTTAAAAAGGGGCAAAAAGGCTTTCCCCAAACAAAGTTGGCTAGAAATGCATATCCATGACTTTTTTAAAAAGGCATAAACATCCCATTGTTCTGTCCTTAAATCACTTTTCCACCTGCTGTGCTGAAGATCTAAGTGCTGCAGAAGAGTGAAATGTGATATGGACATAAGGTGTGAAAATAGCTGGGAAAATCCCATTCAGAGATGCTCTCAGAAGCCAACCGTGCAAACTATTAAAAAGTATTTGAAAATTGGTAGCAGAGCTAATATTCTGAAGAATGCAATCACAGTATCAAGGATACTTAATAAAACGAGCTTTCCCATGTTTAAGCAAACCATAGACTTCTTTATATAAAGAAGCAGAACAGGAAAATTTTATTCAGCCTTCAAGGATGAACTTTCCGAAGACAAGCACAGCAGCTAAGCATGCAGTAACTGAAATTTCCATGGGTAAGGCAAATTAATTTCTATTTTGTTGTTTTATGAATGCATGGACATGCATTTGACTTTCTGTGTACTATCACGTAAAGAGAATACAAGGTAAAATAAATGACTTCTCCTGCCAGCGTGCTGGTCTATTGTTAAGTTGTCATGTGTCTCCTAAGCCACTGTAGCATAGCTTAGTCTTCTGTCTCCACAGAAAAGGCTGCCTTATTGAACCACAAGATTTCAAGTGAACTTGTCAAATCTTCAAGCATATCCACACGTCGTTAAGAAATTCCAAAGCTACATCATCCTGAAAGGGTTTCTATTCCCCTGGAAATAATTGAGGTGACAAAATAAAATTTAAGAAGTTATGATTTAAAAAATGTTCTCCTCTTTTTCTCCCTTTTAACGTAAGGGTTAATTCACTTAGAATAAACCAAACACCATGTGTTCTCACTTATAAGCGGGAGCTAAACATTGAGTACACATGGACACAAAGAGGGGAACAAGAGACACCAGGGTATACTAGAAGGTGGAGGGCAGGAGGAGGGTGAGGATGAAATTCAAAAAAATGAAAAGAATAAAAATTTTCTCCTCTGTCCCATAATTTCTATTTTGAACTAACCTGAAAATAATGTTGTTAAGGTTATGATAAACTGGTTATTTTGTCCCTTTTTAGAAAATCTCCCTGGAAATTGATCAACCCCAGAAATCATTTGAGTCTCACTATTCTTCCAACTGTGCTCAATTAATAAGATAGATAAAATTGACTTGGTTATAGTACCCTAACATAATACCTTATGGGTGTATCTATCTATCTATCTGTATATATATGTGCACACACACACATATATATATAAATTTGTTGCATAAATTTCCACATTTCTCATATATTTTTACTGAAAAACCAGGAGATGGGGCATTGTTAACATCCAAAACTTCACCCACAGTCATCCTTGAAATAGATGGAGAAAGTTAGTAGTACATGTGAGAATTATGGTAATCACATATCCAACTAGGTGTGTAATTATGAAGCAGACACAGTTATCTTTAAGGCTCTTCCACTTTCTTTTTTTCTTAGCCTACCTTCTTGTTCCTGAAACCCACTCCTCTCTTGTAGCCCCAAGCAAAACAAATTCTCATCCAAGTACTACATACTGTATATGTTACCCCCCTCAGGAACAGTCATATTAAAAGATATCATAGTCAAAGGACAATATCAAATGTCATCACAAATAAACTATTGATGATGGGATCTGATATCTCAGTGCAGAAAGAATTTTGGACAGGAGCTTTGTCTTGCTTTCCTAAAATGATATACTTTGAAGAAGTAGGAATACTTTTGTTCTTAGATCAAGTTTTAGCCTCAGTCCCATGAAAAGGGAACTTTTGCTTCCTAACTTCCTTCTTTTCCCACCATCTTATTTTCCTTCCCCTCAGAGAAGCAGCAGGTCTGACTGGTGAATCTAACATTCTCTGAACCTTCCTCCCTAATGGGCAGAATCATAGCTATTAAAAGATAAGGCAGGAGTTCTACCTTCACTGGCTGACTGACAGAGGAACTAGCTTCTCAGAACTGGCCTTGGTCGTCTTCATGCGCTCCTTTGCACTTCCAGTCTCTAGGCTATACAGACTGAGTGGGTCTTGCCTCAGCAGCTCTGCCCCTGCTCCAGGCTCTCTCTCCCCACTGCAACAGGTGGGGAAGGAAGATCTGCCATTCACTGCTCATACATAAGGACACCTGGGTAAGTAGGCTTGAAATCTGCTCTAAGGATGCAGACATTTAGTCACAGATTGTGGGAAACCAAAGCTTTCTTGGCTCCTGGCCTACACTAGGGATCTAGCTGTCATATCAGAGAAGTCTTTTTAAGGGAGGGTGGTGGGAAAGATCAGGCACTAGCTCAGTTGTTAACAAGAATTGAAATTTGTTTCTGCTTGGCTATTGATCCTTACATGTTTAGAACCCGGGAAAAGAAAAGGAGAAAGTAGGATTTGGGCACTAAATCCTATCCCACAGCCCCCAGCATGCACTAATCCCCCCCCGCCAAAAAAAAAAAAAAAAAAAAAAATACCTCACACAGCTAACCGCTGAATTTCTGTTAGTTCTAGCTAATAACATTTCTTTTTAGAAAAGGGCAGAGAGCACTGCACTATAATTGAAAAGGGCAGAGAGCACAAATAATTGAAAAGTGATTTAGTGGCAGCATTCAAATTTCAAGTTTGTTTTCTTTTAAATTGGAGTTGTAGGGCATATATACTGGGACTCAACAAAAGAAAAGCAGGGGTAGTAGAAAACAGAGAAGAGGAAAAAAAAAGGAGATGAATCTGGGATGCTGAGAATGGGGATGGTGGATGCTGGCTTGTCCATCTTTGCCTCTCAACTAGATATTGATTGCTGCTATTATCCCAATTTTGGTTCTCATTACAAAACATATACAACATGAACAGCACCTCAAATATGTCCAGCATATTGGCAGGGCTGTGTAATAGGAAGCCATTATTATTTCTATGGGCTATTGTGATAGCCTTGCAGCTGATTTTCTGTTCCTAGTCTGTCCCCTTCTTTTCTGGTTCACAATTCTCTAAAAACGTCTAAGGTACCACAGCTACCAGCATCCCATCACTTCATTGCATGAAGGTCTCAGTGGCTCTCCTGTTGCATTTAGTGATGTTAGCTGAAATTTCTGTTCTTAGGATAAAAATCAATATTCTAAGAAAAGACAAAAATTATGCAATATAACAAGCTGGATTAACAAAGCTAAACAGTAACTTCGTTACTGAATAGGGGTTAGTTCTTAGACAATCTACTTTGTGAGTCAGCTTTGAGGATCATCCAGAGATTGATATGGTATGTAGCCTTTCCCAATTTTTGGACTATCAAATTTTATTTTAATTGATTTACTTTTAAAAAAGATATCTAACATGTACTATATTGGTGTATCATGGAACTACATCCTACATAATAAAGTATCACAAAGTATGAATTTCACAGTCCCACACAATCTGGCCCACTTCCCATTCACCATTCATATCTCTCGCTCTATCCCTTTGCAATCCATGACAGAACCTAAGTGCTCCCTTCCTCTTTGCTCACATGCAACATGCATTTTTTTCCACTTGTGCTTTTTTTCATCTTGTTCTCTGCTTTATATGCCCTTTCTTCTCTGTACCACCTGTAAAATCACTCACATCCTTCAAGGCCAGCACAAATATTGCTTCTGCTTGCCCTTGTATCTCAGCTGAAATTGCTAACCATGATCCCGCATTCCATTTCTCTGGCATTTACTATCTTTCTCTCACATTATATATTTTTTTCTGTATATCTTATTATTACTATCTTCTTATCACTATATTGTAAACTCCTTAAAGGCACAAATAGAACTTTATTATTTTTCAAACAGAAATTGTAACCTGGGAGCTATAAGTGAAATTCATCCTGAGAATTGTTTTGTTTATCCTGCACCGTATATTCAAAATATCTGCGTTAGTGTGCTTTAGTAAAATATTGAAAGAAAAAAAAATAGATGTCATTTTCTCTTGAGAGAGAGAAAGATCTGGTGCCACTGTGCTGTTATTCAACATAGGCACAATCAGCGTTGTAGTTAGCCTGGTCCCCACCTGAAGCAGATCAACCTGCTTGATGACTTATTTGAATTTTCACTTCTTTGAACAATGTTTTATACAAAATCTGTTCTCAAAAAAAAAAAAAAGTTGCTCTAAGCCAGATGTAATTATTTCACAAATATCAAAGAAGATGGGGAAAAATCCCACTAATTAGAAAATTATGAAGGGAACGATTTTTAAATTTGATTTTCTTGTAAAAATGAGGAGAGGGAAAAATTAAGGAAGCGTGGTGACAAAGAATGCTAGTAAACAAGTGATGCTTGACCATAAACAATCTCTTTTCTGGGGTCTCAGGACCTTTGTTGTACACCTCCACCAGAATATGATTCACCTTCGAGGAATCGTTTATTTGCTCTGGGTCCCCTGTCTAGACTGCGAGCTCCTTGAAGGCTGGGGCTGTCACGCATCATTTTCCCCTGGAGTCTGACTGCCTGAGTTGGAATCTCAGCTTTACCATGTACTGTCCACTTCATTTTTCGCGTCTTGTTTACCCATAGGGTTATTGTGAATGTTAAATTAAAAGTGATTAGTCCAGTGTCTAATATGTAGAAAGTGTTTGATAACTCTTAGCTTGACTGCTAGAGTACCTGCCATCTATCGGGTATTCAATAAACGTTTATTGAATGAAAGAGTTAATAAATGAGTGAGTGAGTGACTCTGTTTCCACCACTGTGTAACCACTGTGCTGTTAGTCAGCTGGTTTTCTGAGCTTTAGTTAATGGTGTAGGTCTGTTCACAGAATTATATGAGCTATAGCAGTTCTTTATATTGCAGACTTCATTTACCTAAATTAGACTAAGTAAAATTAAACTACATGTTTATGACATAATCTTTCTCTTTCTAGTTAAAAAAAACCCTTTATTCAGCCTTTTTCCATGGAGCACATTATCTGCAATATTGTCCCCTTATAACTTTTGCAAGTCATTTGTGAATTAACTGAGCCCCACCCCACCCCCAAGTTTTGCGTGACTATTACCTCTGCTACAGGGGTGTGTCAAAACATACACACAAGTAAAAAGCTACAAGTAGTGAAGAAGTATTGGAATTTGTCTGCAGGACATATTTTTGGCTTTGAAGTAAGAAAGAAAGAACCTGTGACTTTGCATTTCTCCACCTTGGGGGTCATCTCTGCTGGAAGATGGGCACTGGGTGACGTTGAAGGGGAAGAGCCTGGGAGGCTGGAAGCATTTACTTTGTTGCCAGTCTCAAGAAGCTTGAACATGCTTTTCTATTCCTGTTTTTTTTCCTCTCAGGGAACATAAAAGATTTTTGATAGCAGGGATTTTGTGTTGTTAATTTTAACTCTAATGCCTAGCATTTAATAAATGTGTGCTGGAGGAATGATTAATATGAGACTGAAGGCAAGGAGCCTCCCTAAATATCAGCTGATATTCTAAGTTAATGCCATTTTTATAAAGATATAATACATTGTGCTATAAATATTATCATAACACTCTAAAGGGACCCAGTACCTTTGGGGTTAATACTACAAAGCTTTCATCAGAAAACTGAAAAACATTTGTAAGTGAAGTAAATTGTCCACTTATATAAGGTACTCAATATGTACTACCTGCTGCATTTATTTGAAATAAGCTAAGGTACTCAGTTCTATTATCTCTTTAAAAATAATGACCTAGAGGTAACAGTAATGTCCTCTCACCTCTCTACCCAAGCACTGTGATCCAAGATCCTGATGGAAGTCAAAGAGTGCACCCTGTCTGTTGTAAATGCAAGTATGGGCTATTCCAACCATGAAAAGACACACTCACAGCTATTTCTAGGCAAAACCATTCGATATTTGGTTTTCGAATATCCAGTCTCCTTTTCCACAATATTGACATCCTTTCTATATGCTATGAGCCAGATGCCTTCTCTACATCAAAAGCTGCCCACAAACTACAGTGTGATAATTGATTATAGAGACCAGAGTATAAACTTAAATCACTGTAAGAGGTCAAGTATGGGTTCAATTTGTAAAAGTCTGAATTCATACCATCAAAAATGAAAGCTTTGTTCTAGTTAGTGGAATTCAATGTGGCCATCTGGGAACAGAAGCTTTTTGGAAAGGTAGAAAGGATATATTCGAGGGTAGCACGGAGTCTTCCCCATACCTAGGTTCACCTAGAATTTGGCAGACACCAACCTTACATATCCAACTTCTATTCTCATTTTATTTTGATCTCACAGTACCTTCTGTAAAATGGAAAGAGAATTTTTGACTATTTTCACTGTAGCAACTGTTTTCCCATTTAGGACTAGGGAAGGACAAGTTTTGAAGGAGAAGGAGATGGTTTGTGATTCTGGCATTCATGGATTAGAACATCATACATCTTGAATCAAATGCCCCTGAGAAACTGCACTGCAGAAATTGCAGTTTTGACACGAGTCCATTCTTTGGTTGCTGATCATAGCCATTGTGATGTGCTTGTCCCCCTAGGCCTGCTGGGCAGCATGGCATTAGTTTCAACTCGGGCTCTCCATCTCTGATTGTTGCTGCTACAGTGGCCAGTTTTCAGTACCTTTCTTCAAACAGTTTCAAAATTGTCTTTGGAGCACTTCTTTTGTTGGCTTTAGTTATGATTGTCCTTATTGAATGCATTATATGGCAACTCATTTGAAGTACAAGCACAAGCAATAACAGTTTTAGGACATCAATTGGAATAAATGTAAAATCCTTTTTTTCAAAGCTTTCCTTGATAATGTGTGATTTGAGAAGGAAGGAATTTGCAAAAACTTTGTTGCAGAATTAAGGAGAAAGGTGAAAAACTATTGCTTTCCATAGATTTATGGCTTACCACACACACACAAAGACATACAAACAATGTTGGTTATTTCTTTCTTTTTTATTTTCATCCTATGAATTCAGCAAATGGCTTCAAGCATCTCTGGCTGTGATAATTGCAGTATAAAGGGAAGTACTCTTTCAAGTGAAGTAGTTGGAGCTGTCAGGACTCCGTGGGGATACATTTTACAAGCGAATTCATCTTACAATAAAGATGTCTGAGATGGAAGTTAGAGGTTCACTGTTTGACAACTGGAAAAGATATGAGGCCTCTCTGCCCACTTCTGATTAGAGATCTGATGAGGGAGGTTGAAATTTGGAACCCAGAAAAGAAGTTTAAGGTCAACAGCGTACATCTGCATGTCCAGGAAATTGGCCCACATCGTGTGGCATTGTTGGATCAGATATTTCTCTTCCCTTGCTAATTGTTGTATTTACTTTCTTGAATTTTGGGAATTTGGGGAATTTTGCTAGGAAGTAACTAAGACTATAGGTATCTGCTGGGTATTGACACATTTGGTATATATGCACTTTTATTTTTTACTTAATAATATCTTTAGTCTACTGGATACTTTCCCAATTGTTCCTTCTAATCACATAAGGAATAAATCATAAGGTATATGTATGATTATTGCTGCATATGCATCTACTTGAGTACCTACTATGTATCAGTGCTTGTGCTTTACATACATCATCTCATTTAGCTTAACCCAATGAAATGGGTTCTTACTGATATTTTACAGATGGGAAAACTGAGCATAGAAAAGGTGGAGCCATGTGACTAGTAAGTGAAAGTCTCAGAATCAAACTCAGGTCTACATGACTCCAGCACTTGTGTTCTTAACTATGGTGTGTTCTATTCTACCTTACTCCAATTCTTAGATCCCCAGTCTAATTTATGTATTTGTTCCTGGTACTTCAGTAGGCCCTAAGTGAGTTCATGTACTATAGTCATTATCACATGTTGATTTAGTTGGCTTGAAGGTAGAGACCATGTTTTATTTATCATCAATATATAGCACAATAAGAGGCACATACTAAGCATATTACTAATTGCATTATGAATGAACAACTAGCAATGACAAGCAGAGCTGGTCTTTCAGGCAAAATAGATGAACGCAGTGTGATGTGAGGATTTCTATAGATGGATCGTTTGAGAAGGAATTCATTTTTCTTGTTACCACACAAAGCAGTGATCCAGACAAGAAGGAATGCTCTGGTCTGCAACATAAGATAATGTCTAAGGAGGTAGGCTCAGCGTATGTTGTATATATGTGTGCATGTGTGTGTGCATGTATTGCATTGATCTACTGCAGTAGATTCAAATTCTCTTTCTGCCTCTAGATTGCACCTCAGGTAGTTGCTTTTGTGGTATAAGTTGCTTCTGGATAGATTTAGTGGTGTTGTATTGATAATTTCATTTACTCATGTGCATTCTCTAACAGATTGTAACTTCCATGAAGGCAGAGCTGAAACCTTTCTAGCTTTAATGTAGGCTAGAAGGTATAGGGCCTCACATGTAGTATGTGCTTTAATATTACTGCAAGGATAAATGAGTTCCAAAACCCAACCAGATGACAGCTGAGACTTGACAAGCCTCAGAAAATCTGAGAAATATTTTCTCTTCTTTGCACTGACCTTCAGCCTTAGTTGTACTTTAAATTTTCCATAATAGTTAACATGAAAAATGATCAAAAGCTAGCCCTAAACAGCTCATTGAATAGCATTCATTTAAAAAATAATGGACAACAAAACAGAGTACCCTATATAGGATGTAACTGGAGAAAATGAGCTATATTTTGAGTTAATTTTATATTCATAAATAAGATTGGAATTGTAGCTCGGCTTTGATCCGCCTCATTGAAGTGAAAAGGGAGAACTGAGTATTTCCCTACAGGAAATCTAAAACTGAATACAGCAGAGATGATAATGGTGTTTTTGCTTAACTTTCAATAATGTATCATTTTATAATTTAATAACAATTCTAGGGAGATAACATTAGAAGGGACATGTAAAGCATTTAAGGTTTCTTGGAGAAAGCTATTTATAATTTTTAAATTATTGTGATAATTATTGGATAATGAAGAAGCTTAAAGTTAAATCTGATCTACACCTTGACAAGCTTCATTTCCCCTAAGCTCTGCCCATATTCCCAAATCGGAGAAAATAACAAGATTATTTTTCTTTTCATTTTACTCTTACCATACCAACTGTTTTTTTCAGTTTCCTTGGCTGAGAATTTCTTGCTCTTACTTCTAAATATGGAGAACCTCAGGGTTCTGTTCTGTGCCTTTTTCTCTTTCTTCATCTTTTCCCTGAATGATCTTAATCTATTTCCTGTCAGTTTAAATACACTGCTAATTCCCACACTTATCTCTAATTCAGAAATGGCCTTTCAAATACAGACTCGTAAATCTTACTGCTTATTAGGCTGTAAATTCTTGAAGGTAGGAATTGATGTCTGGAGTAGCATAAAGGCACATGCAAGCATATGTTCATCGCAGCACTATTCACAACAGCAAAGACATGGAATCAACCAAAATGCCCATCAACAGTAGACTGGATAAAGAAAATGTGGTACATATACATAATGGAATACTACACAGTCATAAAAAGGAACGAGATCATATCCTTTGCAGTAATATGGATGGAGGTGGAGGCAATTATGCTAAGCAAACTGCTGCAGAAACAGAAAACCAAATATGCATGTTCTCACTTGCAAGTGGGAGCTAAACATTGAGTACATATAGAACACAAAGAAGAAAACAACAGGTACTGGGCCTACTTGAGGGTGGATGCTGGGAGGAGGAAGAGGATCAAAAAACTACCTATTGAGTACTATGCTTATTACCTGGGTGATGAAATAATCTGTATGCCAAATCCCTGTGACATGCAATTTACCTATGTAATAAATCTGCACATGTACCCTTGAACCTAAAATAAAGGTTAAAAAAAAAGTGCTTGTCGCTTAGTAAGCTTCAAGGAATGTTTGTTGAAAGGCAATAATAGCCACTGGATGGGGAAGCACTATATTTTTCTTTGTTTACCCATTTAATTTCTGAATGCTTCTGCCTTGGCTGGAGTGCCTACTCTGCAAATGCTACCTCTCTGTCAATGCTTAATTCAGAGGCCACCTTCTCCATGAAACAATGTATTCTTTTAGCTAGAATGACTTATACCTTCCAGGTACTCATGAAACTTTACCTGGCCATTCTTATGGTACTTAACCATGAATGAATTATTATACGAATAATAGAGTCAAATAATCTCAATGCTGAGCATATTTGCAATGAAAACCACATCTTACTCCTCACTGCCCCAGTCTGGAATCTTTCTACTACACTGAATCATTTCATCTTTTTATGTTTGTTCTTCTGTAACATGAGTTGGCAGTAGGATAGACTAAGAGATGATTTCTGTTTCTGATATTTGATTACCTATAAATAAAGAGACATAAAACAAGGAGACAGGATAAAGTCTGGTTTGCCCAAGAAAATACTAGTCTGTGCATGTTCTGGCATAGTTATTCATAGTGCTTCTTTTCACTCTCATAAGTGGCTGGGTTGGATGATAAAGTATATGTTCACTTAATCTATAAGGGTGTAGTAAAACACAGCCTGTGACTAATTTCGAAGTGCTTTGTGTACTGAAAATATAAAAGGAGAATAGTAATATGAAATTGTGTATAATGTAAATAATTTCCCCAGAATTTGTATTTGCATATGATGGTAGAAACTTGACTACCCTTACTTTCTTTTGTATAAGTTGGGGGAATGGTATTTATTTCCTTAACAATCTATAGGGTTACATTTGCAAAGGGAACATAGCTCAAAATCAAACATACCAGTCAAAGGTTATCTCTTTCATGGCTTGACAAAATCATCAAAGGGGGACATTGGCATTTGAATATGATGTAGAGGTATCCATAGATGAGCTTCCATATGTGTATCTCAGCCCTTTCATTGGTTTTGTCCTCATGAGGTTTCTAAAGCATTTTCCTAATGTGAAGGCAAGCTCCTGTAAGTAGATACGTGTTCTGTCCAGCAGATGGTGCATTTGACGCAAATTGTTCTTTTTCCCGTTCCCCCTCCTTTTCCCCCTAAGAAATTAACCACCAGGTTTCTGCCAGAACCTGCCATGTTCAGGGTGACATATGATGCTGTTAAAATAAAATATAAAGGTTAGAGAAAGATCAGTAATAAGTCCTAAATTGAACATAGATTTCAAGAAACTACCGTTAAAAGAGTCTAGAAATTAATAGTCCATAATATGATGAAAAACCCAGCTGACATCAAAGAAACTTCTTGCCTTCTTTTTAAAGAATTCTGTTTAATGCATAATTCACTGAGCCCATGAAACATTCTGGGAAACTTTTGGATGGATATCAGCCTTTTAATTCAAAATTATGCACTCTGGGAAATGACTGGCGCTGAAAGTGGCAAGCCTACTAGATAATTTACACCAGCAATCAAATTGCAATTATAAAGAGATTAAAACATGACTTTAAAGAGCCTAACTCCACCCTCAGGGCTACTAGCTATTTGGTAAATATAGCAAAGGAGCCTGTAATTAAAGAAAATGTGTAATTAACAATTTCGACCCTCTTCAGCTTTGTTAGAGTGACACTATAAAATTCCAAGAAAAAGTGAAGAAAGCCTCATTTAAAAAAGTCCATGGCAGTTAGCTTTATATCTTCAAGAGAGTGTATTTCTTCTGATATTGTCTACCACATCCTCTAGTAGTCTTTTTTTGAAGTTTATGTTACCCTTGGTTTTTAGTTCTCATTGATATATGGGAGCTAAGCTATGAGGATGCAAAGGCATAAGAATGATACACTGGACTCTGGGGACTTGGGAGGAAGAGTGGGAGAGGGCGAGAGATAAAAGACAACAAATATGGTGCAGTGTCTACTGCTGGAGTGTTGGGTGTACCAGGTTCTCACAGATCTCCACTAAAGAACTTACCAAATACCACCGGTACCCCAATAACTTATGGAAAAATAAAATTAAAGAAAAAAGAATAGCTTGAAGGATTTTCAAATCCATCACTGGAGACTGCATATACAGGAGGTGAGTACATTCAGACTGTGACCGCAACAGAGCCATTAAATTGGGGGTGCTAACTCTAAGGCATAGGCTTATGAAGAATCGGTGTCTTCTCTGTACATCTTCTGATCGTGCTTATAGATGATTTATAGTCTACTTTCCTTCAAGGACTTTTTAAAAAGCTGTCTAGTCTGGAAAATTGGGGGTTAGAGGATAAGCTCCAGGTAGGAAGCTAGCCAAATGATTTAGTGGGAAAGATGATCTTAGCCTTTTCTCCTGGGTGCCAATTCCTCTATACCCTGTCTCTGCATGCATCCTTTAGGTTCTTGCTCTCAGCAAGTCTTGTTCAATTAGGGTTCTAGCTGGTAAAATGTCACCTCTCTTGGGAGGTCTTAAATTGCCAAGGTATTTTCCTTAAGAGAGGAATAAAATTAACATGATCGTATAGCAGGTGATGATGCCCAAGAGTTCTGGCCACCATGACATATCCATACACCTCTTAGCTAACATCTGGAACATTAATAGGAACCAATGTGTGGCCTGTTAAACAACACATCTGTGTAGTATTATACATTTTTCCTGTAAACTTCCTTCAGTGCTTAACTCATACTTCATTACTTTCTCTGATTTCAACCAAGCTAGCATGCTAAGGTGAACTCAGATGATCAGGCTAATGTTAATAACGCTTTAAAAATAAAAGTTGATTAAAAATTCAACTGCTGTTCTCTGTATCCTGAGGTAAATGACTGCTTAAGTGATGAGAATACACAGGCTTCATTCCAAGGACATTTAACTCTGCTCCTTGTAGGAACTTGACTGGACTCTAAACAGATTGAGAGATTAAGATATTTTGGATGATGTGCAAGATGCTTCATTTCTAAAGACCCATGAAGCTGGAAAAGTGTTTTCAGAGACTCCCAGAAACATAATTAATTACTGAGTTAGGCCCTTAGAGACAGGAACTGCTAAAAGGCTGATATGAACCTTTTATCTAGTTAATTAGCTTTACAGGGAGAATTTTGCGCATTTAGCTGATGGGTATAGATTTTATTACTTGAAACACAATACAATTTATTTTTATGTTGTACTTTTAAATTAGAAGATTAAAAACAATATTGGAACTCTGAAATAACTCTAGAAGTTCTGATGATAATGAGGGGCACTGTGACTAGACATCATTCTCTCAATCATATTATATCTCTAAAGGAAAATAAAAATTTAAGTGTAGTGCCCTCCAAATAGGCCAACTCATTCATGATAAGAAACTTGTGGTGTTACTGAGAAGTTTAGTTGTTCATTACATAGAGCAAACTGGGTCTCTAGATATGAATGAACTGGCCTCTAAAAAGCTATTCATATATCCCTTTGCTCCTAAGTCCTAAGAGACTGAGAGGAGTTTGTGCCAACAATCCTATCATTTCCACTAAAAACATAAAGTGGTAAAATGAGAATATTATTTTCTCCCCAAATAGACCAATTTTTCCACAACAAATATCTGCTGAGATGCAATTACCTTTGATATGCCCGGCAAATGCTGTGAGGAATTTCTCAGCAGTTATATTCTCCTTCACAACCTGGATGCTCACTTTAATTGTGTTCAGATTCTAATGGGCTTTGAAACCAATGGATCATCAGTGGCTTGGAACAAAAGTCTCAGGAGTAATATTTTTACTGAGAGTAGATTTTAAATTCTTAACGTTAATCCTAACCTTTTTTTGGAATTAACACCTGGTTAACAGGCGTCAGAACTAATACTGATTCTGTAGCCACATACTCTAAAGTTTCTCCCTTTTTTTCAGTTGCTTTTCTTGTCTCTTAATGCACAAGCACATCTGTACAATTTCATAGGCCTGTCCCACACTGTATCAGGCAATCCCTTGCCTTGCCTTGAGAATTAACTAAGCTCTCCAAAACTTAATCTAATATATGCATTGCAAAATTCATCACTTCTCTCAGCACTTACAATTATTTCACATCTCTTTTCTCTGATAGTCATATGTATTTTCCTACTTGCAGTTTTAACAGTCTCATTACTTTTACCTCTCATAATGGGGTACATAATTTTCATAAAAACATTTCAAACTAATAAACTGCAATGGTTGTGAATGCCGTGACTACAGACAATTGCTCATACCCTCATTTGGTTCAGTAGAGTGGGTAGAATTTTTGTTCTTTATCATTACTGAGTGTACAGTCTGTAAGTACAGAAACTTATTATATAATTTCTATTATATAGAAATTATAAGCTATATATCAACAGATAATTATAAATCTATTATATAAACTTTCTATTACATGGATAGAAATATCACACTAGCTTTCTCATTTAACAAATGAGTACAATAGGTTGAGGAAGGGGAAGAGAAGAAAAAGAGGATTATACAGATGATTATCAAGGTTTTCCACATCTGAATTCAATCAAAGCGACTCCACTTTTATCAGATTTAAATATTTTAATTCTTAATATAATGTTGTTTAAGAAATTGTTACGTTACTTTAAAAAATAGATTTCAAGCTTTGACTAAGTAATCTCTAAGATTCCTTTCAATTTTGCCCAAATATTGCATCCAATGAGCTCTTTGAAAGCCTCTCAGCGTATGGGGTCAGATGGATGTGAGGTTACAACAAGGGCACAGTTTAGGGTTTGGGGAATATTTGTCATTGATGGTGGGTAAAATAGTGTCATCTAAGCTGCTGCATCTCTATTCATCTATGCTGAATGGTCCTCCTAGAGATGATACTTCCTGGTGAGTGGAAACATTGCAGGAAAGGAAAATCATACACCTAGGATGGAGAAAAACAAAATGGTCCATGAAGTGATTTAGTTGTTGTTATTGCTTCTTTTAGGGCTGGTCTAAAAATGGCTTAAGGTTCAAAAGTTGACTCTTTATATTAGCAATCTGAAAAAAAAATGTGAAAAGAAATAAAGCTAAATGTTTTTTCCAGCCCTTCAGCAAAACTTTATTGTTGTTCCTTATCTTCAACTTTTACTCTAATGATGGCTTATGAAGCAATTGGATGATACCTCATGTGCTGTAAACAAAAATTTATGGTTCACATGAGTTGCTTTCAGTTCCTGCTCTGCCTTCCCTACTTTTTACCTGATGTTTCTCTTATGGAGAAATCCACATGAAAATTGATGTTTTGGGAAATTTTATTATGAGCTTCAAACAAACAGGAAAAATGACACTTTGGCCAGTGTCAATTAAAAATGGTCCCCCAGGTCAAGAAACATTATTGACTAGATGAAATTTTGATGAAGTAGGAAAAATGATCCATGGTGATTTAGTGAAAAAATATGGGAATTTATTTTATTGGGTATATTTGTATGCAATGTGTGTATGTAGATATGTCTATCACAAATGAGTGTTTTAAACACAAATTTTCAAGAAAAAACAAAAGTCTTTTTAAGAAATATTCTTTCATTTGATAGATGGCATAACTGAGACCTAAATAACAGGAGTGACTTGCTAGTCAATACAACCATTTGGGGCAGACCTCACATCTCCTGATTCTCTGTCCAGTGTATTTTATTTATATTGCAATACTTGGGCTGCATGCAAGTTACCTTGAATTGGAGTTACCTCTATGCAAAGCCATTAAGCAAAGATTGTCTTCAAGAAAGAAGACAGTTTTAAACTTATAGAGGGAATGTTTTTGGTCAATATATTATGTGAAGTGGTTTCCAATTTGGAGGAACCACATAAGATTACCTTGTTATTTTCAGTGAAGTGGAACGAAAGTATAAAACTCCCGATGACATGAGGTATATCAACATTTTTTTTCAGAATAAAAGCAGTAACTATTCATGAATTTCTAGCAGAATGTCATCTTTTCATTTAATATCATATCCATGTTATTCTTAAAAAGTTTGTGCTTGCTATGTTCCTAAATATTAAGGATGACCACAACTGTATAATGGATTTCAGTATTTTCTTTCTTTGACAATATTGAACGAAAGTTTCTATTTTCTTGACCTTTTGACAAAGAATGAGATTGAGTAAACCATCCTGGGATAGAATTTATGTGGTTTTCTTTAGGAATAAAGACGATTTAAGGTCATCACAAACCAAAGAGCAGGAGATCCCACCTTCGGGTGAAAAGGCAACAGTGCTAGTTTTGAGGATCATTAGAGTTTACTACATTTTACACTTATGCAAATATTCATCCGATTTTAAAATAATTTATCCTTCATGTTCTTGTCATGAGGTCTTCCTTGAGCTACTCCTGTTCTTTCCTTAATCGTTAGTTGAAATTTACATTCCCTTTGAGTATGTTTAAGAAGCATTGTTTGTTTGGGAATGGTGTAAATATTAAATGAGATGCTGTATGTGAAAGAATTTTTTCTTTTTAAATCTAAAGTACCAAACAGATAATTTTATTGCCCTAATACTCCTGTGACAGCTCGTAATGCATTCTGCATCATGTTACCTTTCAAAATACACGCTTGCCTTTCCCAGGAGACTAGCGCTTGTTGGAGGGTAGTCTCCTCAACAAACTTTTCCTTTGTACTCTTCCCAATGTCTGACATAAGAATGATGCTTCAATAATTGTTGTGAAATGACATAACACATTCATCAATGAAGCCCACAATGTTTCATGATGGTCCTATCATTAATAATAAATTATTACGGGGAAAGAAGTAGGCCACCTTGCTATCCCTATTATGAACAGGATGTGCAAGAGGCTAGAGCAACCCGAGGATTGCCTGAAGTCACACAATTAGATTAGAGACATTTTGCTGTGAGGAAGGTAGATTTACACAGAGAATAATATCCTATTATCACCATGACATTCAGGGCTCAGCAAATATCCCTCTGTGAATTTTTAAAACATGATCCACAATTGTATGATGGGAAGTCTGGATAGGAAGTATACAGATTTCTGTAGAAACACTTTATTATTTTGGTAAGTACTGTATTTGAGTTTAGTTGAGTCTTGAATATAAAAATTACAATTTAACATGAGAAGTAACTTTAACTGTGCTTAATTTGGATTGTATAATAGAGAATTGATTCTCGTTCTAGTTGAATGGCTTGGAGACTTTAAAACATGTTATTTTCTCTGAAAATTTAAATGGCGGGGGAATCCTCAGTGTTTATAGAAGATATGTATTAGAATGTCAACATTGATAAGTCTCTTTAGGTTTCTTTATTAGCTTTTTCTGATATATAATCATAATTTAAAAATGTTCCCTATTTGAAATCTTTGATATTGTTCCTGTCACTTCTCAGAGTTTCTCAATGCTTCCAATTTCACTCAGAGTAAAGTCCAAAATCCTTACAAGGCTCTCACCACTTCTCTGACCTTATTTCTTCTGTCTCTTCCACGCTAACTCCATCTAGCCACACTGGTCTCTTTGCTTCCCCTTAAACATATTAAACAGGTGGCTCACACCTTATGCCTTGTTATTCCTTGCTGTGAAGCTCTCCCCCATATTTCCTCATGGGTTGCTCCCTCACCTCTTCAGGTCTCTGCTCATTTGACCTCTGGCTCAAACTGTCAGTGAGGTTTCTTTTGATTACATTATATAAAACATTAAACTTCTACCCCCTCCACCCCAATTCTAACACACACACATACAAACACAAACACACACAGACACCCCTCTACCTGGGATGCCTTATTCCACTTGGCGTGCTATATTTTTCTTCATGGTATGGATCAGCATGTGGCATTCTATATCTGTACTAGCTTATTTGTGGGGGAAAAAAAAAGCTACAGAAGAGGGTGGGGCCATTGCTAGGTTTCGCTTCTTAATTTCCAGAGTCTAAGGCTGGGACTTATGTAAAAAGGTCTGCAATATCCAACCAAAAAAAAGTCCAGGACCAGACGGATTCACAGCTGAATTCTACCAGAGGTACAAAGAGGAGCTGGTACAATTTCTTCTGAAACTATTCCAATCAATAGAAAAAGAGGGAATCCTCCCTAACTCATTTTATGAGGCCAGCATCATCCTGATACCAATGCCTGGCAGAGACACAGCAAAAAAAAGAGAATTTTAGACCAATATCCCTGATGAACATCGATGCGAAAATCCTCAATAAAATACTGGCAAAATGAATCCAGCAGCACATCAAAAAGCTTATCCACCAGGATAAGGTTGGTTTCATCCCTGGGATGCAAGGCTGGTTCAACATACACAAATCAATAAATGTAATCCATCATATAAACAGAACCAAAGACAAAAACCACATAACTATCTCAATAGATTCAGAAAAGGCCTTCAACAAAATTCAACAGCCCTTCATGCTAAAAACTCTCAATAAACTAGGTATTGATGGGACTTATCTCAAAATAATAAGAGCTATTTATGACAAACCCATAGCCAATATCGTACTGAATGGCAAAAACTGGAAGCATTCCTTTTGAAAACTGGCACAAGACAGGGATGCCCTCTCTCACCACTCGTATTCAACATAGTGTTGGAAGTTCTGGCCAGGGCAATCAGGCGAGAGAAAGAAATAAAGGGTACTCAATTAGGAAAAGAGGAAGTCAAATTGTCCCTGTTTGCAGATGACATGATTGTATATTTAGAAAACCCCATCATCTCAGCCCAAAATCCCCTTAAGCTGATAAGCAACTTCAGCAAAGCCTCAGGATAAAAAATCAATGTGCAAAAATCACAAGCATTCCTATACACCAATAACAGACAAACAGAGAGCCAAATCATGAGTGAACTCCCATTCACAATTGCTTCAAAGAGAATAAAATACTTAGGAATCCAACTTATAAGGGATGTGAAGGACCTCTTCAACGAGAACTACAAACCACTGCTCAACAAAATAAAAGAGGACACAAACAAATGGAAGAACATTCCATGCTCATGGATAGGAAGAATCAATATCGTGAAAATGGCCATACTGCCCAAGGTAATTTATAGATTCAATGCCATCTCTATCAAGCTACCAATGACTTTCTTCACAGAATTGGAAAAAAACTACTTTAAAGTTCATATGGAACCAAAAAAGAGCCCACATTGCAGTCAATCCTAATCAAAAAGAACAAAGCTGGAGGCATCATGCTACCTGACTTCAAACTGTACTACAAGGCTACAGTAACCAAAACAGCATGATACTGGTACCAAAACAGAGACATAGACCAATGGAATAGAACAGAACCCTCAGAAATAACACCACACATCTACAACCATCTGACCTTTGACAAACCTGACAAAAACAAGAAATGGGGAAAGGATTTCCTATTTAATAAATGGTGCTGGGAAAACTGGCTAGCCATATGTAGAAAGCTGAAACTGGACCCCCTCCTTAAACCTTATACAAAAATTAATTCAAGATGGATTAAAAACTTAAGTGTTAGACCTAAAACCATAAAAACCCTAGAAGAAAACCTAGGCAATACCATTCAGGACATAGGCATGGGCAAGGACTTCATGACTAAAACATCAAAAGCAATGGCAACAAAAGCCAAAATTGACTAATGAGATCTAATTAAACTAAAGAGCTTCTGCACAGCAAAGGAAACTACCATCAGAGTGAACAGGCAACCTACAGAATGGGAGAAAATTTTTGCAATCTACCCATCTGACAAAGGGCTAATATCCAGAATCTACAAAGAAACAAATTTACAAGAATAAAATCAAACAACCCCATCAAAAAGTGGGTGAAGGATATGAACAGACACTTCTCAAAAGAAGACATTTATGCAGCCAACAGACACATGAAAAAATGCTCATCATCACTAGCCATCAGAGAAATGCAAATCAAAACCACAATGAGATACCATCTCACACCAGTTAGAATGGCAATCATTAAAAAGTCAGGAAACAACAGGTGCTGGAGAGGATGTGGAGAAATAGGAACACTTTTACACTGTTGGTGTGACTATAAACTAGTTCAACCATTGTGGAAGTCAGTGTGGCGATTCCTCAGGGATCTAGAACTAGAAATACCATTTGACCCAGCCATCACATTACTGGGTATATACACAAAGGATTATAAATCATGCTGCAATATAGACACATGCACATGTATGTTAATTGTGGCACTATTCACAATACCAAAGACTAGGAACCAACCCAAATGTCCATCAATGATAGACTGGATTAAGAAAATGTGGCACATATACACCATGGAATACTATGTAGCCATAAAAAAGGATGAGTTCATGTCCTTTGCAGGGACATGGATGAAGCTGGAAACCATCAGTCTGAGCAAACTATCACAAGGACAGAAAACTAAACACCACATGTTCTCACTCATAGGTGGGAATTGAACAATGAGAACACTTGGACACAGGGTGGGGAACATCACACACTAGGGCCTGTCGTGGGGTGCGGGGAGGGGGGAGGGATAGCATTAGGAGATATACCTAATGTAAATGATGAGTTAATGAGTGCAACGCACCAACATGGCACATGTTTATATATGTAACAAATCTGCATGTTGTGCACATGTACCCTAGAACTTAAAATATAATCATAATAATAAAAAAGATATGATGCAATCTTAAATGCATATTGCTAATTGAAAGAAGCAAACTTGAAAAGGCACATACTATATGATTCCAACTATATGTCATTCTGTAAAAGGCAAAACTGTGGAGACAGTGAAAAGATGAGTGGTTGCCAGGGGTTTAGGAGGAGGAAGAGATGAATAGGTGGAGCACAGGGGAGTCTTAGGGCAGTGAAACTATTCTCTGGTACTATAATGCTGAATGGATGTTATTTTACACTTAAAACATATAGAATGCATAACAAAAAGAGTGAACCCTAATGTAAAACATGAGCTTTGGTTGATGATGTGTCAATGTTGGTTCATTAACTGTAGCAAATGCACCACACTGATTGGGATGTTAATGGTGGGAAGGTTGTGTATATGTGGTCAGGGAGGAGTATGTGGGAACTCTCTGTATTTTCCATTTAATGTTGCTCTGAAACCAAAACTGCTCTAAAAAAATAAAGTCTAGTTTTAAAAAATAAAAAAAAGGTCTATAATATATATTGAACAACACATAAATTTTCCCTGGTTCTTCAAAGTCCATTTCTAATCCAATTTCCTTTAGGAAATCTCAGTGTGAGTGGAATGTATACTACCATCCTCTTTATCTTCCCTTCTATTTTTATTGGAGATAAGGTCTCACTCTGTGGCTCAGGCTGGAGTGCAGTGGTGTGATCATGGCTGATTGCAGCCTCAACTTCCTGGGCTCAAGTGATCCTCCCACCTCAACCTCCCAGGTAGCTGGGACTACAGGCATGCTCCACCATGCCCAGTTAATTAAGAAAAAAAATTTGTAGAGTTGGGATCTCACTATATTACCTAGGCTGGTCTTGAACTCTGGGCTTAAGCAATCCTCCAGCCTCAGCTTCCCAAAACATTGGGATTATAGGCATGAGCCACCACACTCATACCTACCATCCTCTTTAAATGCAGAAGGATATCCTATTATCACTAATAGAAATCCGCTCTATTTTTCCCCAGAAACAGAAGCACCTGTCATATGAAAAGCAAGGACAAAAATATCATATCTGGGCCAGGTGCAGTGGTTCACACCTATAATCCCAGCACTTTGGGAGGCCAAGGCGGGCGGATCATCTGAGATCAGGAGTTCGAGACCAGCCTGGCCAACATGGTGAAACCCCGTCTCTATTAAAAATACAAAAAGTTAGCTGGACGTGGTGATGGGCAGCTGTGATCCCAGCTACTCAGGAGGCTGAGGCTGGAGAATTGCTTGAACCCGGGAGGTGGAGGTTGCAGTGAGCCGAGATTGCGCCATTGTACTCCAGCCTGGGCGACAAGAGCAAGACTCCATCTCAAGAAATAAAAATAAAAATACCATATCTGATAATTCTATTAATATTTGGTACTCAGCATATGGGTTGTGCTTCTGAAATATTAGCAGATGAATCTTGGGTTGTCGATGAGATTTGCCCTAATCCACTGAGCCATGCAGTGGCAGATCTAGAATGAATATGATCTTTACTGGTTCAGTGTCTCTTACTCTTATTCATGGCAATATTCTCTCAAGAATCTCCAGTGACAATCATAACTGGAGACTGGTTTTGCCTCCAGTGCAATTTTTATGCATTATGAGATAACAATCATTTTACTGCCTATAACATTGCAAGCTGAAGGAACATATCACTGTGCAATGATCCAAGAATGTGAATTCTACTCCAGGAGGGGTTCTTTTTCTTTGACCGTAGTTGAGTCACTCCACCTCATTCTCTATATTCTCATCTATAAAATGGTAAATAATAATATCTGCTTGACCACCTTCACGGGATTGTGGTAAGGATCAAATGACTGTGATCAAAAGCAATTTAAAAATGATAAAGCGTTAACTGACATACATCTTCACAACGATTACTAAAATTTCAGGATTCTGAACTTTTGACAATTTCTTTATTTTAGCTTCATGACTGAGTGAGCTTTTGTGGTGGGCCATCAAACATGAGGGAAAAACAAACAAACAAACAAACAAACACCTCTTGCCACACTGGGGCTTGGGATGCGAAAAAAGGGCTGTGCCTGCACTCAGGGAATCATGCTAGTTAATTCAATCCTTAGCCAAGTAACTTGGATGACTTAAACTTAAACTGTAAGTGGCAGCAAAAAGTAGAAGGCTGGGAGGGCAGCCTCTGGTTTTCCTAGTTTTGCTGTCAAATTAATTACTCTTACTTTATTTCTAAAAGTGTCTATCAGCATCCTAAATATTGCTACAATATTTTAAATAAAACCATGAGATCATGCTCCCAAGAAAAAGAAAACAAAGTATACTTTCCTTTTTCTTTTCTACAGTTTAGCCATTGGATTAATTCAGCCTTAAAAGACCCTTGCAACAGAAAAAGGCAGAAAAGGAATGTGACAAATTTCTCTACTGAAAAGAAAGGATTCAAATTGAGGAAGGATTCATAACAGGGTAAGTTTTAAGGGTGAATTGAGGTAGGCAAAAGATAAGGAACTCATCTCTGGATGTTGGCTTTACATTTAGATATATTTTGTTTGTATATCTGTTGTTTAAAATATTGCTGAAGATTACACATAGTGAATAGAAATGAAGATATAAATGTCTTCTTTATCTAAAGGCTTGCTTTTTGATGACTGAGAAATGATAAATTCTCTTTGTTTTCTACTTTTATTACAATTGAGAAATCATGGTTGAAGGTTTTATTAGACTATAAGCATTTTAGAGATAAAGATTTTGTTAAGTACCCTAAGAAAGTGGTATATTGCTAAAATGTGATTATTGGTGACTGAATAGCCTGTAAACAAAACTTTGTGATAGAAAACTCTGAAGATGCTCTAACTTATGAAGGTATTAATTGCATTTAAAATTTTTAACTTGATTTGTGATGTGTGCTATAAAACAACTACTACTACCACCCCTTAATAACATGAATTCAACAGGAAAAGCTTTTAAACACATTAAACAAACCCACAAAACTATCATGGTCTTGGATGGAAACCTAGAAGGGTTTCAGACCCAGTATTTTTCTCATTTCTTCAACCAATTTACTTTTAATTAAATATATGGAGGTTTGTAATTAGAGTGAGAGAATGGTGTGATAGGGAAGAGAAATGTAGTCTTCAACAGCATTGAAGACATGGTGATCTGTAGCCTGATTACGTTTTTTTTTTTTCAATTTACTATTGATTCTCAGAAATAACAGTATGATATTGCAAATATTGATCTGGCGCAATCTGATGCTCTCAGAGGAAGGAGTGAAGTATGTAGTTGGAGGCCTTTCCTATGAGTCATTCTTTATTAAAGACATCATTATAACAATTACATTATAACAACTAATGAGTTAACAAATACCTTCTTATATTATTCAGATTTGGAAACAATATTTTATTATTACTGTGAATGCACATAGGTAAGCTGAGCCAAATGACAATGAGACTGCATCCTTTTTCTAAATACAAACCTTGTTTTTTTTTCTTTTCTTTTTAGGAAGCAGGAGCGGAAAATAATGTGTGAGTAGGAAACAGATAGACTTGGGTCTCCAAATCTCCAAAGCCACTTAGTTTTGCAAATTGGAGAAAGACATTTAACACTTTTGAGACACATTTAAACTTATAAAATAGAGGGAAATAATATCTACCAACCTGATGGATTTTTGTGAGAATTAATGAATAAAATATACAAAATGGTTATGTCAGGCCAGTGGCAATCAATAAATGCTAGTTTTCTTTTTTCTTCTTTTCCTTTCAGATTAAAATTTAATTGGTTTTAGCTTAAATTCAGGGTGAAAATGATAGACCAAGGATCACAACCAATGTGGTTTTAGAGAAGTTTATATATTTTTTATACAAGGGGACTAAAACACACATTTTATATTTAATCTATAAAATCAAAACAACACTTTACGGTTCCAATTTAATTTTTAATTTCCCAAGGAATTCTGAATTTGTTAATGAAATCTTGATTGTATTCTAAAAATTATAACTTTTAGGAAGCCTTTTCTGACCCTCTGCTCACTATGGTCCCTCTTTTGTATCTAAATACTATGCAACTTATAGCTCTCTTAAGAGGCCAGTGATGAACTGCTGTGTATTGTAAAAGTTACTCTCTTATTGCCCTTACTAGTTGCTAAGATACTTGATGGCAGAAAGAATTTTTTTCTCTTTTAATCTCATCTGTTGTAGTACCTGACACTGTTTCACACTGAATACTAAAGATTCTCTGAAAAGTTTCATAATTATAGCATTGTGTTGTTTTTTTCTATGTACATATGTCACCATTGCCCACAAATCCCCTCCATATTAAAAAGGAAAATTCTCTAGCAGCACTAGCTCTAAAACACTCAATTCCAAATTCTGTCTTTGCTTTATCATGAAGAACAAACTTGTAAGATGTTTGCTGTGGTGGCCGGGCACACTGGCTCACGCCTGTAATCCCAGCACTTTGGGAGGCTGAGGTGGGCAGATCATGAGGTCAGGAGTTCAAGATCAGCCTGGCCAACATAGTGAAACCCCGTCTCGACTAAAAATACAAAAATTTGCTGGGCATGGCGGCATGCACCTGTAATCCCAGCTACTTGAGACGCTGAGGCAGGAGAATTGCTTGAACTCGGGAGGCAGAGGTTGCAGTGAGCTGAGATCATGCCACTGCACTCCAGTTGGGGTGGCAGGGCAAGACTGTGTCTCAAAAAAAAAAAAAAAAAAAAAAAAGAAGAAGTTTGCCGTGGTAAAACATAAAAGATGAGACTAGTTGCTAGCCAACTTGTTTACTATAGGGGTAGAAAGTATAATCTTGTCTCAAAGTGCAATTTAAATAACTTAAATAACTTAGACTGTGGTAGATAAGCTTTTTGATGTGCTGCTGGATTCGGTTTGCCATATTTTATTGAGGATTTTTGCATCAATGTTCATCAGGGATATTGGCCTGAAGTTTTCTATTTTTGCTGTATCTCTGCCAGGTTTTTGTATCAGGATGTGCTGGCTTCATAAAATGAGTTAGAGTGAAGTCCTTCCTTTTCAACTGTTTGGAATAGTTTCAGAAAAAATAATACCAGCTCCTCTTTGTACCTCTGGTAGAATTCACCTGTAAATATATCTAGTTCTAGTCTTTCTTTAGTGGGTAGGCTGTTTATTACTGCCTCAATTTTAGAACTTGTTATTGGTCTATTCAGGGATTCAACTTCTCCCTTGTTCAGCCTTGGGAAGATGTATGTGTCCAGGAATTTATCCATTTATTCTATATTTTCTAGTTTATTTGCATAGAGGTGATTATAGTATTCTCTGATGGTTGCTTGTATTTCTGTGGGATCAGTGGCGATATCCCTTTATCATTTTTTATTGTGTCTATTTGATTCTTCTCTCTTTTCTTTATTAGTCTAGCCAGCAGTCTATCTATTTAATTATTTTTTTCTGAAAACCAACTCCTGGATTTATTGATATTGTAAAGGGTATTTTTAAATGTCTCTATCTCCTTCAGTTCCTCTCCGATCTTGGTTATTTCTTGTCTTCTGATAACTTTGGGGTTTGATTGCTCTTGGTTCTCTAGTTTTTAGTTGCAATGTTAGGGTGTTGATTTGAGATCCTCATAGCTTTTTGATGTGGGAATTTAGTGCTATAAATTTCCCTCTTAAAACTGCTGTAGCTACATCCCAGAGATTCTGGTACATTGTCTCTTTTTTCTCATTGGTTTCAAAGAACTTTTTGATTTCTGCCTTAATTTCATTATTTACCCAGGAGTCAGTCAGGAGTAGGTTGTTCAATTTCTATGTAGTTGTGTGGTTTTGAGTGAGTTTCTTAATCTTCTGGCATGCAAGCCTGGTTCAACATATACAAATCAGTAAGCATACTGAAGACAAAAAACACATGATTATCTCAACAGACATATAAAAGGCCTTCAATAAAATTCAACATACCTTCACGTTAAAAACTCTCAACAAACTAGGTATTGGCCAGGCATGGTGGCTCACGCCTGTAATCCCAGCACTTTGGGAGGCCCAGGCAGGCAGATCACAAGGTTAGGAGATCGAGACCATCCTGGCTAACACAGTGAAACCCTGTCTCTACTAAAAAAAATACAAAGAATTAGCTGGCCTTGGTGGTGGGCGCCTGTAGTCCCAGCTACTCGGGAGGCTAGGGCAGGAGAATGGCGTGAACCCAGGAGGCGGAGCTTGCAGTGAGCGGAGATCGCACCACTGCACTCCAGCCTGGGCGACAGAGTGAGACTCCTTCTAAAAAAAAAAACTAGGTATTGATGGAACATACCTCAAAATAATAGGAGACACTTATAACAAACCCATAGGCAATATCATACTGAATGGGCAAAAGCTGGAAGCATTCCCTTTGAAAACTGGCACAAGACAAGGATGCCCTCTCTCTCTACTCCTATCAAACATATTATTGGAAGTTGTGTCCGGGGCAATTAGTCAAGAGAAAGGAATAAAGAGTATTCAAATAGGAAGAGAGGAAGTCAAACTTTCTCTGTTTGCAGATGCCATGATCTTTAGAAAACCTCATCGTCTCAGCTCAAAACCTTCTTAAGCTGATAAGCAACTTTGGCAAAGTCTCAGGATACAAAATCAGTGTGCAAAAATCACAAGCATTCCTATACACCAACAATAGATGAGCAGAGAGCCAAATCATGAATGAACTTCCATTCACAATTGCTAGTAAGAGAAAAAAATACCTAGGAATACAGCTAACAAAGGAAATGAAGGACCTCTTCAAGGAGTATGTATGGTCTGCTCTCAGCTCTCACTCTGCTAATAAAGACATACCCAAGACTAGGTAATTTATAAAGGAAAGAGGTTTACAGACTCAGAGTTCCACATGGCTGGGTAGGCCTCAATCATGGCAGGAGGTGAATGAACACAAAGTCACATAAACGTGGTGTCAGGCAAGAAGAGGGGAACTCTCCTTTATAAAACCATCAGCCCATGATTCAATTACCTCCCACTGGGTCCCACCCATGACATGTGGGAATTATTGGAGCTACAATTCAAGATGAGATTTGGGTGAGAACACAGCCAAACCATATCAATCCACTCCTGGCCCCTCCCAAATCTCATGGCCTTACATTTCAAAACCAATCATGCATTTCCAAGAGTCCCCCAAAGTCTTAACTCATTTCAGCATTAACTCAAAAGTCCACAGTCAAAGTCTCATCTGAGACAAGGCAAGTGTCTTTGCCTATGAGCCTGTAAAATCAAAAGCACATTAGTTACTTCCTATATACAATGGGGGTACAGGCATTTGTTATACACACCCATTTCAAATGGGAAAAGTAGGCCAAAATGAAGGGGCTACAGGACCCATGCAAGTCCAAAATCCAGTAGGGCAGTCAAATCTTGAAGCTCCAAAATGGTCTCCTTTGACTCCATGTCTCACATCCAGGTCAAGCTCATGCAAGAGGTGGGTTCCCATGGTCTTGGGCAGCTCCACCCCTCTGGCTTTGTAGGGTACAGCTCCCCTCCTGGCTGCTTTCATGGGCTGGGTTGAGTGTCTGCGGCTTTTCCAGGTGCACAGTGCAAGCTGTAGGTAGATCTACCATCCTCAGGTCTGGAGGATGGTGGCCCTCTTCTCACAGCTCCACTATGCAGTCCCCAGATGGGGAATCTGTGTGGGGGCTCATACTCCACTTTTTCCTTCTATACTGCCCTAGCAGAGGTTCTCCATGAAGGCTCCACCCCTGCAGCACACCTCTCCCTGGACACCCAGGTGTTTCCATACATCCTCTGAAATCCAGGCTGAGGTTCCCAAACCTCAATTATTGTCTTCTGTGCACATGCAGGCCCAACATCATGTGTAAGTCACCAAGGCTTGGGGCTTGCACCCTGTGAAGCAATGGCCTGAGCTCTACATTGGCCCCTTTTAGCCACGGCTGGGATGCAGGCACCGAGTCCTGAGACTGCACAAAGCACTGAGGCCCTGGTCCCAGCCCAGGAAATCATTTTTTATCTCCTAGGCCTTCTGAGTTGTGATGGGAGGGGATGTTGGGATGGGAGGGGATTCTGTGAAGGTCTCTGACATGTCCTGGAGATATTTTCCCAATTGTCTTAGCAATTAACATTTGACTCCTCACTCCTTATGCAGATTTATGCAGCCAGCTTGAACTTCTCTTTAGAAAATGGGTTTTTCTTTTTTATTGCATTGTCAGGCTGCAAATTTTCCAAATTTTTATGCTCTCCTCTTTTAAACATAAGTTCCAATTCCAATACATATCTTTGTGAGTACATAAAACTGAATGCCTTTAACAGCACCCAAGTCACATTTTGAACTGCTTAGAAATTTCTTCTGCCAGATACCCTAAATCATCTCTCTCAAGTTCAAAGCTCCACAAATCTCTTGGGCAGGGACAAAATGCTGCCAGTCTCTTTGCTAAAACATAACAAGAGTTGCCTTTGCTCCAGTTCCCAACAAGTTCCTCATCTCCATCTGAGACCAATTCAAGCTGGACTTCATTGTCCATATTACTATCAGCATTTTGGTCAAAACCATTCAACAAGTTTCTAGGAAGTTCCAAACTTTCCCACATTTTCCTGTCTTCTTCTGAGCCCTCCAAACTGTTCCAACCTCTGCCTGTTACCCAGTTCCAAAGTCGCTTCCACATTTTCAGGTATCTTTAGAGCAACACCCCTCTCTACTGGTACCAATTTATTGTATTAATTCATTTTCACTCGGTTAATAAAGACATACCTGAGACTGGGTAATTATAAAGAAAAAGATGTTGAATGGACTCACAATTCCACATGGCTGGGGCAGCCTCACAATCAAGGCAGAAGGCAAAGGAGGAGCAAAGGCATATCTTACATGGCAGCAGGCAAGAGAACATTCACAGGGGATCTGCCCTTTTATAAAACCTTCAGATCTCATGAGACTTATTCCCTATCATGAGAACAGCGTGGAAAAGACCTGCCCCCATGATTCAATTACCACCCATTGAGTCCCTTCCATGACATGTGAGAATTATAGAGCTATAATTTAAGATGAGATTTGGGTGGGGACACAGCCAAACCGTATCAGAGAACTACAAACCACTGCTCAAGGAAATAAGAGAGAACACAAACAAATGAAAAAACATTCCATGCTCATGGATAGGAAGAATCAGTATCGTGAAGATGGCCACACTGCCCAAAGTAATTTATAGATTCAATGCTTTTCCCACTAAATTACCATCGACATTCTTCACAGAATTAGGGAAACTACTTTAAAATTAATATGGAACCAACAGAGCCCATATAGCCAAGAGAGTCCTAAGCAAAAAAAACAAAGGTGGCAGCATGATGCTACCTGACTTCAAACTATACAACAAGGCTACTGTAACCCAAACAGCATAGTACAGGTACAAAAACAGACACATGGACCAATGGAACAGAATAGAGATCTCAGAAATAAGACCACACATCAACAATCATCTGATCTTTAAGAAACCTGACAAAAACATGCAATGGGGAAAGGAGTCCCTATTTAATAAATGGTGCTGGGAAAACTGGCTAGCCATATGCAGAAAATTAAAATAGGATCCCTTCCTTGTACCTTATACAAAAATTAACTCAAGATGGATTAAATACTTTAATGTAAACCCCAAAACTATAAAAACCCTATAAGAAAAACTAGGTAATACAATTCAGGACATAGGCATGAGCAAAGATTGTATGATTAAAACATCAAAAGCAATTGCCACAAAAGCAAAAATTGACAAATGAGATCTAATTAAACTAAAGAGATTCTGCACAGCAAAAGAGACTTCTCAACTGAACAACCAACCTACGGAACGGGAGAAAATTTTTGCAATCTGTTCATCTGACAAAGCCAGAATCTACAAGGAACTTAAACTTATTAATAAACATTATTTAAAAGTCAAGAAACAATAGATGGTGGCAAGGCTTTGGAGAAATAGGAATGCTTTTACACTATTGGTGGGAATGTAAATTAGATCAACCATTGTGGAAGACAGTGTGGCAATTCCTCAAAGACCTTGAACCAGAAATACCATTTGACCCAGCAATCTCATTACTGGGTATATATCCAAAGAAATGTAAATCATTCTGTCCATTGCAACACTATTCACTATAGCAAAGACATGGAACCAACCCAAATGCCCATCAATGACAGACTGGATAAAAATAAATGTGGTACATATACACCATGGAATACTATGCAGCCAAAAAATGGAACGAGATCATGTCCTTTGCATGGACATGAAAGCCATTGTCCTCAGCAAACTAACACAGGAACAGGAAACCAAACACCACATGTTCTCAGTTATAAGTGGAAGCTGAACAATGAGAACACACACTGGGGCCTGTCGGGGTGCAGGGGGAGGGAGAACACCAGGATCAATAGCTAATGTATGTGGGGCTTAATACCTAGATGATGCGTTGATAGGTGCAGCAAACCACCATGGCACATGTTTACCTGTGCAAGAAACCTGTATGTTCTGCACTTGTATCCTGGAACATAAAATAAAATAAAATAAAATAAAATAAAATAAAATAAAATAAAATAAAATAAAATAAAATAAAAACTAACCTAGACCAATGGCTCTTAACTTATCCTCCTATACTTCGGTTCTGTATGTGTTAACCCCACTCTAAAAGTAAAAGAGAAATAATCATCTTTTCCAAAGTGGCTGGTTAAAGTAATACATTAAACTGCCTTAATTTAAAAAAAAAACATACATTTGAGAAACTTTCGTTACTTTACTTCTTGTGTGCTAGGGAGAATGAATGGACAAGTAGTAGGTTAATATTAATGGCAATCTTAGACTATCTAATCATACTTGGTCCAGCAGCTTTGTGTGTATGAATATGATTTTGTAGTTGGTGGTTGAGATGTTATTTTGTAAATTTAAGTTATGGTCAACTCTGTGCTAGTAAAATTGTTTTTTTTTTTTTTAAAGACAAAAGAGAATGAAATCTTTGAATATTCTGGAATGTTATTACTATGACTTCAGAGGACTCTGCCACGTTAACAAATTCTAATATACTTTAGACAGTGGAATGAATCCTTTGATTATCATAGTTTGGAGTGTAGGTACAGTAGCCCCAGGAACCATGCTAGGGGTTCAGGGAAGAAACATAGACTGACTAGCTAACCTTGCCTGCTGATGTCACATAAAGTGATAAGAAGTATTGTGGACCCCTGCTAAGTGCTTTTGGTAAGAGGCAGGTGAAAATGGTGACTAGTTTTCAAGTTCTTTAGCCATCCTTCTCAATGCCTGATCCTCAGAGTATAACATCAGCATCCTTAATCTTTAGGATGTATGCTCATTGCTCAGGCATTATGAAAATTTTGCTATGTTTCTGTGAAGGCTTACTAAACTCAACTTTAGGATAGCTTCCCATACACTCATGGTCCATTGGATAACAGTATAATTGTTTGAAGTTCTTTAGAGAACATTCCTCTATTTCAGTATGTGATTGCTATCCTGGTGAGTACAGCAATCTGATAGCTTTTCTGAACCTACTGAAAATAGTTCCTTTATGTATGTTGGCTTCTCAGTGTCCTGCTCAGGATAAGTAATAGCATAAAGGTATACAGAAGTGGAAAAAACTATGTTTTTAACTCTACTATGACAAAGTTTCCAGAGATTAGAAACCTTTAGAAGACTATGTTCTTGTTGGGATAATACAAGCTATCTTGAAAGGGACATAGATAAGGTAAACTGATTTTTAAACAGGATTTTAGTTACATTTAAAAAAAAATACTTAGAATATTTTTTTCCAATCTCCAGATACCTTTGCAAGTGATATTCCTGTAAACATACCACAGTATCCAAAAAAGTCTGGAAACATCAAGGAAATAGTATTTTTACTGTAATTTTTTCTGACTAGCAAGGTGGTATGATCCATTTCTTTCATACTTCATTGGGGATCATTACTTTTTTCTGCCTCACAGGATGTATAAATGACTCATAATAAATTAAGGATTATTAAATAATAATGACAATAATAATAACAACTATAATGATAATAGTAAAAATAACAAGCAGCAGCAGCAGCAGCAGAAAGCACAAGCCTAAGTGGAAAATTAGGTTTCCTAGAGGCTCCTGTTCTCCACAGCATGACCTTAAAATGGGAATCATTTCTCAAGCCTCTAAGACACCAAAGCACAGATGCACGGTGCATAAACAAATAAGTGACCACATTAGTGGTGCCCTTTGGGGGTTTAAAATCTTATTCTTATGACCCCAGGAAGCTGACCAGAGAGAAGGGGGAAGAAAGAAGTACAGGATATTTATCTTTACATTTTGGAAATGCTTTTGATCAGCAGAGCTGGAACAAGTTTCTGTGCTTTTGTGGGAACTACAAATGTTCCAGGGGAGGAAGCAAGATCAAGAGCAGTTTGCTCTTTCAGGGACTTCAAAGCCCATTCATCTAAAGATGTGGCCATTACCATTTTGGCTTCCTCACTGTGCCTTGGATGGCCCTGTACTTTTCAAGAGGAGAGCCTTGCTGGGTTGGGGCCAGCTAAAACGTTATTCCTTGGAGTGCAGTGTCCCAGAAAATCTGCCCTTCCTGGCCTGTGCTCTGTGATTATAGTCCCAACCAGGAGTGAACCTTGTTCCTATTGGATGAATCAGACACAGAGGTGAGTAGGGTGGCAAGGCTGGACTACCCATTTTCTGCCTCTTCTCCTCTTCCAGGTGTAGAGAATTGTAAACATAAGAAGAAGGCTGGACTGTCTCCACCAGGCTCTAGGTCTCTGATCCCAGTAGTCTGTCTCTTCACTGGTAGCAAAAAAAAAAAAAAAAAAAAAAAGGCAACCAACCAATGAACTAAGCCAACCAAGCAAACAAATAAAAAAGAAAACTGTCTTAGCTTAGCTGTACATACTATTCAGTCCTGTTATGATGAGTCCATCAGTAACAGGGAATTGTCCTCTTCACATATAAGTGAAGCCCTGGGAGTAAGATTTCTTCAGGGATCCTAGATCTTTTCTGGGTGTAAGATACATAGTAATTTCCCAATCCAAACCAAAGCAGAACAAAAATCCTAGGGCAACACCCTAACATTGTAAGCCATAATAATCATGCTTTTATACTTTAGAATTGTTTTTGGTGGTTAAATGTCTGTGTAAGCTCTATGAAGCAGGGACTGCATCTGCCTTGTTTACTGTTGGGTCCTCAGGTCCCAGCATGACATCTAAACGTATCTGTGGAATGAATGACTAAATCAGGACCTTGGCATTTACTCTGTCACCTATTCATTATGTGAACTTGGATGAATTTTCTTTTGTGTCAAGTTCTCAATTTCTCCATTCTCAAACAGTTTAGCCTAACCCTAAGAATTGCAGAGAGGAATGGCATAAATGTTATTCCTGAGATAATGCCTACGTGACATTGGATGTGTCTTGGGGCACTTCTGGCAGTTATGCTTAGCAAATGGAAGCTCTTTCTTTTTTCCTTCAAATTGGGTATACTCCAGTTACCACATCACTCTGACAGTTGAGTTCATTTTTATGTGCTTCAGTAAGTGAAGATAATAATGCTGACATCCTGAATTTTCACCTCTGTCAAGTGAGAAGTAGGGGCAAGCTCATCTTTGAGGAAGGCCTTTTGTAACTCTATGATTTTATTCTATTCGACTTTCTGGAACTGGTCTCAGGATAAAAAGTGAGAAAGAATGTACTGTACTGTGAACACAATCACAGTGATATTCCATTTCTTTAGATGTTTCATAGACCTCTCGACTTCCTTTTTCTTAACTGTATTGCATAGTTTAAGCTTTCTTTTACATCATAAATTCTGAAATTTTACTCAAAGTAAGTTTGAAAATTCACATGACACCAAACATAATTCTCATTTAAATATTTACTTTAGGATTCTGGATGACATAACTCTTGCACATGGAAATAATTTTACTGAACAATTAAAAAATGATTTGAAACTTTATTTATTTTTAAATATACTAAGGTTTGGAATCCAAGGCTCAGCGTTCAAAGTTTGGGTGTTTGATGAACCACCTTTGTGTCAACTGAAAAAGTAGACCAGGAGCATTAAAGGTATCTTAAAAAGAAATAAAAAAAGGAAACATACTATAAACCTATTGATCATCTTTCATTCCTTCAATAGCATTTCATTAATATTTAGAATGGATCAGAAACTGTGGTAGATGTTTGGGATCAAATACATCAATTTCCCAGAGTCCTCGTGCACATGCAAAAGCAGCACTGGGTCAGGTGACATGAATTTCACCTCACCCCTGTTACTAACGAGCTAACAGTCCTGGCCCCTGTTACTAACCAGCTGACTGATCTTGGGCGAATCACTTTCAATTCTTGGGATTCATCTATAAAACAGTGATGGGTCTCTTCCAGCTTTAATGATATTTGGTTACATTTATCTCAAATGAAATGATAGAATATAACTAAAAGAGAGTACTTAGGTAAAAAAGCAAGCCACTCTAGAAGTCATACACTTTCCTTTCTTGACATTCATTTGTTAATGAACAAAATTTATATATTAAAATTTTTTCAAAGCAATCATATTATAAATTGATTGCTTGCTTTTATAATTTCTCATTCCTTTGGTAAACATTTACATAATGTCTGCTCTATGCCAGAAACCATGCTGAGTATTTGAGATCAGAGATGAAATATATGTACCATGCCTTGAAAGAGCCCACAAGCTAGTAATAAAGGTAGAGAAGAAAACGTAAGTTTGGGTTAACTGCTATTCAAAATCAACACTTACTGAACACCTTTTATGCTTGGGATGCATTTGTGAACAAAATTGATAATGATTTCTGTTTTTTGTGGAGCTTATATTCTAGTGTGAGGATCAAACAATAAAGACTAAATATGAAAGTAATAGATGATGTAGTATGACAGAAGGGGAAAATGTCATGGGGTGAAAAAACAAAAGGTAGAGCAGGGTACAAGGGAAATAGGGGCATCTGTAGTGGGGGTTGGGGGTAATGCATTACACTGTTAAGAATGGCCAGAGTAGGTCTCATTGAGAAGATAACATTTACATGAATATTTGAAAGAAGTAGGGAATGGATTAACCACAGAAATATCTGGGTTAGGGGCAATATAGGCAGAGAGAACTGGCAGTGGAAAAGCCCTAATGTTGGAAACAAGGGTGGCTGGAGTGAAGTGAGAAAGAAGGAGAGTAAAAGGTGAGGACAGGAGAGCAGTCAGGATAGGTAGGGGCAGAGCAGGGAGGGTGGTGTGCAGGACATTGTAAGGCTGTTGACTTTCACTATGAGTGAAACAAGGGAACTCAAGTGGTTCTGAGTAGAGGAAGGACTTTGACTTAGATTTTAAAAGGGCATCCTGGCTATCATGTAGAGAATAGATTGTGGAGGCTAGGTTGAAGTAGGTAAGAATAAATCAACTAGGAGGCTATCACAGAAATGTAGGCTAGAGATGGTGGTATGGACCAGGGTGGTAGCAGTTGAGAAGATGATAAGTCATCAGATTCTGGATCTATTTTGAAGGTAGAGCCAACAAGAGATTTTGGTGTATTGGATATAAAGTATGAAGGAAGGCAAAATCCCAGATGGATATGGGCATAAGAAGGGGCATTTATCTTAGTTTGGGAAGTATAGGAATGATTCCTAAAGGAACTATCAATTAAATTGGATCTCAAAGAGACACAGGAATCACTGAAGATGCCAGATAAGGCAGGTGGGGGTGGGGAGAGAATCTTCTAGATAAAGAAATAGCATTCACAGGAAGTATGCAGGCAAAAATAGAGGCATGCCATGTTTGGGGAACTGCAAGTAGTGCTAATGGAAGGAAGAGTGAATGTGGAGTGTACAGCAGGAGATGAGCCTAGAGACCTGGGCAGTGGTTAGCTCCTGTGCCAGGAGAGATTACTATTTGGAAGAATCTTTAGCAAGGCATAGCTCTAAAAATCTGTTTTGCAAAAGGAATATTTAAACTGGGTTAGCTTCAAACAAGATCCATGTTGACCAATGCTGGAATTAGCTAGTGGGAACACATCTGAGTACCAGGGAGTATTTTAATCTATTTTTAAATTCACAGGAGGCCTAGTTTTTTAATCCTATAATGATGAGAGCTATTGGGGAATTGGCTAAAAGTGTCCCTTGTCAGAAGAATCTTGGAGTAAATGTATTGAGTACATGCAAATAGCCAGAAGAAGACTTTTTTCAGCCTAATTGAACAGACTGTTTAGTGTCTGCTAAGTGTGTACTATTGTGCCTAGTTTATTGCCACAATATTCAAGTTAGAAAAAACAAAGATACTGTTTCAGAAAAAAAGTAAAACAAATCTGCTTTTCAATAGCTAGGAAAAAATATTCCATAGTGCATCTCAAGCTTAAAGCAGTAATAATGCATACATACTTATAATCTTTTACCTAGCTCTAAGTTAAAAATATACATATATTTAGTCATATACAGGTTACTGTAAGCTAAAATCTGCATTCTATTACTATAGTTAGTTCTTTGACTTATTTTTTAAATGTACTAGTTAGCTAACTTAGCATTTTGGTATCCTCCCTTAGTAATGTATTTTCTTGTCCAATTCTCACTGCTGAGAATATTTACCTTGTGGCTGGTCTAAATTCCCTCTCTTTTATGTAGTTTAAATCTGTTTTTCACCCTCCTACTCTCTTCAGAGATGGAGAATGACTGGTAATGTCTGTCAAATTGAGAAGGCTAAAATAGCACTTTGTGGTCAGGTTTGCACAGCCAAACTGAACGGTAGACTTGAAAAGAGTAATTGAACAAGACAGACAAAAAGAGGATACTTTTGTTTTGTTTATCCAAATAATGGGCTTGTTTCTTTACTTTTCTTTGCCTTTTAAGACCCAAGAAGTCACTGGAATGAAGGAACATGTTTTGGTTCCATAAAACACCTTGCAAAGGCTCTCTGAATTCTAAGCGTTCATTTTATTTTAGCTGTTGATGAGTGAATATATTTGTATATTTGCATACTAAAAAGTAAGAAAGGAACTAGAATAACAAAGTTAATTAATATATGTGGTGAGTAAAGATAAATAATACCCTGAAGGGTAGTCTGATGGGGAGTATGTGCTGAATTCTTATTCATCTTTAAGAATTAAGTGCATTGCAGATACCTTTTACGAATACCTGAGAGTTAATTTATTTTTAGAGTAAAGATATTCTTTTTTTACTGACTCCAAGGTCCATTCTCAATTTTTAGAGATGTCAACAGGAACTAACCTGGGATTTGAAGATGAATGCTCATTTATTACTCTTTTTATTTATTTATTTTTGTTATTGCTATATGAAATACACTCATGGGAATACAGGGCACAGAAAAAGTTTAATCTTTACCAGTTTTAGTAGTCATTCTAATGATAAGAAGTGGTATCCATCAGATTAATTGGAGGAATTACTGACATAATTGATTTTGACTACTTTCGGCCCTCTCTGGGGAAAGTAAAGAAGTTATGCAACATGCAGTGTGGTGATTTTTGTGCTTATTTTCAAGGCTGCCTTGCAGGTAAGAATTATGGAATAGAAGCCAATGGTCATGAGGCATTTTTTTCATTATTACCTGTGATTTCATAGACCACTTGACTTCTGAGTGACCACTTATAAGGGAGATGTGAGAACTGCCATTTGCGCCAATGGTAGTATGATCTGAGCATATAAACTTTCAGGTCTTGGATGATACTTCTGTGGAAGCAGACTAGACATTGTGCAGATTGGAACGATGCCTGAGTGGCATGAGAGGTATTAGTAATTCAGGTTGATGAAAGCATTTTATCACTGTAATGTTTTTGGCATCAAAATCTTTGTGCCCCAAATATTACTTAATATTTTATGATTTGGGATTAAGCTATACTACCCAGAACAAGTGCCTTAATAAGCAGATATCCCATGTACCTAAGTAGAGAATGTAGACCTAAAGATTTTGTGCTTTTTACGTAGTAATGCATTCAATGCAATACTATAGTTAGAGAAATATTTAGACTGTATTTAGAAATAAAGAGGCAGCAAAAATCACTTTTCACTTTGAATACACCTTTGTATGATGTTCACTACTGTATCAGAATGAATTCCATTAGTCTTCAACCTGCTTATAGTCAAGCTCCCAGAAAAAGAGTTTCATTTCATAACATATTTTGAGAAAATCCCCAACTATTAATAATATATAAATGTTTTGGTATAGCAGAAAAATAAACGGAATGCCTAGAAATCACTAGGGTCTGGGTATCTTTTCTGTTTTGCCCCTAATTATGCTCTGGGAGAACAGTGACTTCTCTCTCTCTCTCTCTCTCTGTCACCCACTGTGAAAGTTATGAGATTCTTTTGCTCAAGTCACCCACAAAGAAGGCTTGGAAGTTCATGTTCCCTAGAGAGGTGCCAATTCTGCTAAAGAAGATTAAGTGCCCATATCACACATGCCATAATCCTGCAGCCAACATCAACAAAGAGCTCAAATCTAGCCTGGCCCTAATCTAGGGAGCTACCACAGTGGGCTGTCAGCCCTGCCTGGGGCCCCTTTCATTGCCATGTCGTGTACCAGCCGAGATGTTCATTCAGAAATGAGTAAGAATGTTAGAGAACCATCCTATTGCATCCTGGAATATTTGGTTAACAGTTTGAACCCTTTTTATGGCTTTGAAATAATTATTTCTGAATTGGGCACAGAGGCATTTGATTCCTATTTTATTTCACTTGTTTGCATCTGAGAAGATGTTTAAAGGCTCTTGGCTTACCCGTGAAGTTGATTTTCAGCAAGTAATCCTTGTACAACTTCTTCCCATCCAGGATCTTCATAGCATCACAAAGCTTGGTAGTGTTGGGACAGAGGGTGCGCTGCATTTTGTGCAAAGCGTGGGCCATGGCATACACCGCGTTCACCACAAACATGATCTTGGACTCTTGCTCGTAGTTGCTGCTGTCGATGGCCAGGTGCTTGTCGCAGACGCGCCTGTGGTTGCGTTTGTTCTGGAGGCTGCACTGAAACTTTTGCTCCCAGAAGTCCCGGAACCAGGGGTTGCGGTGGTTGTTGTAGGGGTTGAGGCTCTGGAAGTAGCGGTCGAACTGGCGGACAGGCTGGGAGGCCAGCTCCAGGGTGATGGCGCCGTAGGCCACATGCTCGCTGCCCTTGATGATGCTCTCCTGCGCGCCCCAGCCGTCGCTGGCCACCCAGGTGAAGGAGGCATTGGCGCGGCTGGCGGCTGCAATGAGCTCCCGCGAGTCGTCGCTGCGCATGAAGAGGACCACGACGCGCGCGTTGGGCTTCTGCAACAGTTCTCGGATCACGCTGTCGTAGGACTTGCGGATGTTGGAGCGGCCCACCTTCTCCGCCGTAGCGATGCAGATGTTGCGCAGGCGGGCTTCCTGCTCGAAGGCCTCGATCCCTGTCTCCCCGTAATCACCCTCGGAGGCTACTGTGGACACGTAGGTCCAGTTGAAGAAGCGCAAGATCTCAGCCATGGCTTTGGCCTGGTAGAAGTCGGGGGGCACGGTCCTGGCAAAGTAATCATAGCGCGACTTATCACTGAGTTTGGCGCTGGTGGATGCGTAGCTGATCTGAGGGATCTGGAAGAGCCGCAGCAGGTTTGCCACCTAGGGGAGGGAGAAGAAGGACCTTTGTTAGAAACCCCGAGGTAGATGACTGGACATGAAAATGAATAATAGCATCCACACCTTTTACTGACTCCCTTTTCCCTCTACTCTAGATGGCTACATTTTTCTGTTAGTTCTTGAGATGAATACCAGATGCTTCCTTGGATACTGTATTTTGGACACTAGGAAGCAGGTCTCACACAGGTAGTGTGTGCTTCAGGAAAGGGCAGAGTAGAGAAATGAGAAGGGCACCACACTCTCTTCTATACTCTGTGCTAGACTCTAGACTAGGATAAAACCTGTCCATGGGCTCTCAGGTTTCTTTAAGTTTCTGGGGTCCTGCTATATATAGCTCAAGCAATGAACTACAGTGAATTGGCCAAACTCGGTTTTTGACTGCACTTGTATAGAAAGAGCAAGGGTGTTGTCTAATTCTCACTTCCCCCTCTTTTGCTAAAAACGGCAGTCTCTGAAAGAGTTTAATTTGGGAACTGCATGCCACATGGGCAGTCCAGATTAGACATTTATCATCTAGGTTAAGCAAAAAAAAAAAAAAAAAAAAAAAAAAAAAAAAATCAATTCTATTTAGTCCACCACCCAACATTTTAGGCATACGCTTTTCTAAACTCCTGAAAATCTTGACCAATATTTTCTTTACTTTCTTTTTCTTTTTAAAATATTTTTCTGCTTGGACTATGTGAAAAGAAATAATATAGAATTCTATTCTTACATCATTTTTGATTAAAAAAAATTAAAAGGTATTGAGGACCTTGTCAAGAACAGACCACTTACTTCCAAGTATTTAAACCTAAATCTGAATCAAATATTTAAATTTTTTATAATTGACTATCAACAATATTTATCATTTTTATTTATTGTAGAATAAAAAGGAAAGTGACACTTGTTTATTGAGGAGCATTTTATGCATACAGTATTTGAAGAGATATATATTTACAAATATCTAAACAGATTATATGCATACTGAATAATTAGCTTTTAAAAATAATTTCTCCTGTCTACCTCACGTAGGAGAGTTCTTTCTCTATACTGACTTAAGTTAAATTATGTAACATACTAAGTGGATTTTAATCAGAAATGACATTGACTATTACAGTATGCTCTGTCTACATTGGCATGAATATTAGTACTTTGAAATTTTTCCTTTTGGAAATTGTGGTTTCACGTTTATATTTGACATGTAGCAAGCACAGCTTGAAATAGGCAGCTGTTAGCAAAGAGCACAAGCAACATAAAACAACTGACATCTGAGCCCCGATTAATCATAATTTCATCTGGCAAGAGAAACCAACAGCCAAGTTCATACACAGCTACACAGCATGTTCTTGGATATCTGGCCTGCTATTAAAATCAACACTAGATATAGTCCAGAGCTATCAAAAATATCTTCTATATCTTTTCCAATCCTGCTACCTCTCAACCACAAATAAAACAGCTAGAAATCTGGGGCTTAACACACAATATAATGCAAAATTAAAACCCCAAATCTTTCTTGCATTTAGTATTCTTTAATCCAGGGGAATGGAGGTGAATGGGTGGATGAAGGGGTAAAGGCTAATATATTATTTATTTCTTCTCTTCTCAGGACTAGGAGACTCTGGACAAAATGGCCTATACTGACTTATTTAGGCATAGGAATATTGCTTCACTCAGCCTGACTGAAATGGCAGGTGTCACCAAACAGGTACTGTCATTACTTCTAGAATGAGTGCCTGGCTTCCACTGGATTTATGTACCACTATGGAAGGCTTGGTGATAGGAGCCCTGTCTATGCATAGCTTGACTTTGTTAAGAGGTTTCTGGCTAGCACTGGAGAGGCCATCTCTTCTTGATACAATGATTTTCTCATCTTCAAGTTATATTAATCAGGACCTGAACCCCTCAGGGAGACAGAGAATGAAAGGACCTAAAAAATATCTGGACATTATTTTCTGGCAGCGAAGAATCACAGTGAAACAATCCTAAACTGCTGAAATTTCCTCTCCCATAGGGGTAGGAGTAATGAGAAACTGCTCAAAAAAAAAACAAAAAAGTTCTTGTTTTTCAATGATAGGCTTCATGTCTAACTCTCCAGGATGTACGAGAATAATTTACAATGAAGGCAGGCTTTGCAAGAGAACGAACTAGCCATAGAATAACAGCAATGTGGGAAAGATTCTCTGCATTGGAAAGGGGCACAATGAGCTGTAACTTTGGGGAAGGCTGTGGGCTAGAATAAAACAGCAACTATTGCCAACATTTTAAGAATAATTTTATGTTCCTCTGTGTGTGTGTGTTTAATGAGGAGACCACAACTGACTCTAGAAAAAGGAGGCACATTTGGTGAGTTGAAACGTGAAATTGGAACATAGTAAGTATTATCTCAATTGTATCACCTATATTGAATAGCATGGGGTGATAATATAGTCAAACTTACGATATTCAGAGTTACATTAGAAACACATGTAATACAAATGAATCATGGAGTGAAGTATTGAAGTAATTTTATCACAGTGAGCTGCTCCTTTTAAAATTAGTTTCTTTAGATTAAAAGGGTTAAAATGCTTAAAAGTAAACACCATGGGAGGCAATAGATTATAAGTCTCTCTCCTTTCTCTTTCTCATCCACCTCAGCCTTATTTGTAAAGAAGAATGTTAGTTTGGTTTATTCATTTAAAAAATGTGTTTATTCTGTTGTAAAACCAAGTACCAATGTACTGGGTATGTACATACACACACACACACACACAAACATATTTTGCTCTTTTGATAGTCACAATAACTTTTTATGGTGGATATTATTATCTCTATTTTAGATATGCAAAAACAGTTCTGCTAGGTGAAGAAACTTGTTCATAGCCATATGGTTAGAATGTGTGGGTGAAATCAAGGTGTAAAACCAGGTGTTTTGACTTCAAGGACTATGGCTATCCCCTCACAGCTTCCTCTCTACCTTCTACTGTGTGACTATAAACCTGAGGCTTCAAACACAGAAAGGCATCCAGGTAGAAAGAACAAGAGGAACAGAAGCAATATTATGGTATACACCATAGACTGCCTAGTTGCTGTTAGCAGGAACTTTCCTTTTAACATAAATTTAAAACTAGGGTTGGGGAATATCCAGGTAGTTGTTAACTGGGTTCCTGTCTCATTTGTCTAAAAGCTTGGTTCTGGAATATTCTTGACTTACTTTACTGGCCATATGGTTTCTCTGAGAAAGCATAAAGAAATAAAGGAACTCCTACACTGGACATCATTTTGAATGATAAAAGAAAAATTGTTTTAGAATGGAGAAGTAATGTAAAATTTTGGAAGAAAGTTACCCAATTATGTTATTATTAGATAGAGTGGAGGAAGGAAAAACAGGATGTAGTTATATATGCTTTGGAAAAAAATACTTTAAAAGAGATATGCTTCACATAAATTAAGACTCTAAAATGGAATACAGGAGGACTATAAAAATAATTCATACAATACAGAATAGTCTCAACAAGAAAGAGAAGATGAAAACTCTAAAGAATCCACTGGGTGCTAGGCTGCATTTGGGGGATTTTGGTGTTAGAAGAACCAGCAACACAGAATGGGTGCTGTCTGTATGTATGTTGGGGGCGTCCCCATATACAACATAGAAGATTGACATAAGCCTGTAAAAATAAGGGACGCTAAAGCGCAGAATGTGAAAATGCATCAAAGTGATTTTTGTCATTGCTATTGTTTTGATTTGAAATTATGTTTCAGGAGAAGATGTGGCAGGAAGATACAGAATCATCAAATGGGAAAGTTGGTTCTATATGAATAAAAGAAAGATGCTGCTCCATCCCTCTTACTTTCTCATTCTCTCCATTGAGAATGGTTTCTAACATGGAAATGGCAGTACAAATAATATAAAAAGGTTATCACACTCAAAAGTAGGAGAGAATACAAAAAAAAAAAACCACCCCATAATCAGATGAATGGAGTTTGTCCCCAGTAATGAATTCTGGAAGAAATTGCAGATTACATTATGAAATCACTATCAATAATTCTTGAAAAACACACAATGGAGGACTCCCACAGGGTGAAAGGGACAGGGTGAAAGGGAAGGAGGAAGGACAAATTCTGGATATATAAATCAAGAAGAAATATAAATGAATAAGCATGATGTGCTTTGGTAATCTTCTAGAACAAAGTTTGCTAACAGAGAGCATGGAAACACTTAGAACTGAACGAGGAAAGTACTAGGAATCAGCATGGGTTTAATAAGAGTGAATTTTACCAGGGGGCCATCTTTTCAACATTATATAAGGAAGAGTTGCAGCCTGGAGGACCATGACTTTAATAAGTTATTGGTGACATTGCTTGGACTCTTGAGGAAAAGAGAAAGTGATAGGAGTTGGATAATACAGTTAAACGTACTCAAAGACAGCAGCTTGGAAGAAAGTCTTATATTTATTCCAAGTCTTTATATAAGTCTTATATAAAGTCTTATATTTCTATATTTATAGTGGCCAAATAAAATTACATTTGTATTAATGCCATTGAAAAAAGCATAAATAAGCAATAAGATCTTTACATTGTAGAGATAGAAGAAACTGTGAAGATGATCTAAACCTTTTGTTTTATAGGTGAGAAAACAATCTCACAGGGTGAAGTGACTTTTCAAAATTTAGACAACTAATAGGCAGAAAGCCTAAGATTAGAGCTCAGTCTCTTGATTTTCTCAAAGGACTAGTTTCCCTCTCAGGAAACAAGGTGATATTATATAGGAAGAGATGTAAATTCCTGAGTTTAAGTTAAAATTACACAGGTGAAGAAAGAAGAAAAAACTAGAAAAAATGAAATTATAAATGCAAAATTCAATATTGCAGTTCAGCAAGTGCCAGAAATCTAAGGGTGGCTAAAGTCAAAGACGGATTATTAAGTGGTTTATCCTGTTTAGATTCCAATTCAGAATTCCTCAGAAGTGAACAAAGAAGAGCTATTTCAGTTTTCCTATTCTCTAAGTTACTGTTTTCAGACTACCTTTTTTTTTGGGTAAGGCTTTTTTGGGGAAGCCTTTTAAAGATCCCTAGTATTTTCAGTAGTCCTAATATTTTTGTGCCAGCTACTGTTCTAATTGTTGCAGATGTGTTTTCTCATTTAATCCTCAGGGCATTCTTATGATGTAGATACTACCATTATCCCATTTTATAGCTTGAGAAACTAAGGTAAAGAGTGCATAGAGATCTTACTGAGGAACCCATAAGTGGTAGGAATTCTGGGACCACTCACTGTACTCACTTTTGTCATATTTATCCAGTCCATTCTGCAATCCAAGCTCGTAATGGATTCCTCTCACTATAATGATGCAATGATATATTTCAAGGTATAATGTTTGTCTGTTTTTTTGTTCTGAAGCCATAAACTCCTTTATTTGAGGATCATGACCAATCATCCCTTGCTATCAAAAGTATGCTTTTCATTTGTCAGTCTGTGCTTTGTGGTGACTCCATAAACATTCGTTTACTGACTGGCCATCAACAGAGATAACAATGATAGTCTAAGAGTCTACTGGGAAATTTCCACGGGGGCAATGAAAGCTTCAAGCTATAAATATCAGAGTCAGATTTGGCTTTCTGATTTATGTGAGAAACACAATGGCCTTATAGCAGAACCCATTAGTTCCTAGGGCCTGAGAGGCGGCATGCAAGTAAGTTATGTTTAGCAGAATCTCTTTCCATGTGTAGCATGTACTGTCATTTTATTTTCAATGTTCAGATATTATGCGGTACCCATTTTCTTGGTGTTTTGAATTTATCCAGGACTTAGGTGTTGCAATGTTTTCATTGCAGGTTATCAAGTCACAGATGTGATTAATTTTGCTCAAGAAGAAATGCTGGACTTGGCCAGATATGATTATGTTTGCCAGCAGATGCAATGTTATAAAATTGGTATTTTTTAATTATACTTTAAGTTTTAGGGTACATTTGCACAATGTGCAAGTTTGTTACATATGCATACAGGGATCTAGAACTAGAAATACCATTTGACCCAGCCATCCCATTACTGGTATATACCCAAAGAATTACACATCATGCTGCTATAAAGACACATGCACACGTATGTTTATTGCGGCACTATTCACAATAGCAAAGACTTGGAACCAACCCAAATGTCCAACAATGATAGACTGGATTAAGAAAATGTGACACATATACACCACGGAATACTATGCAGCCATAAAAAATGATGAGTTCATGTCCTTTGTAGGGACTTGGATGAAGCTGGAAACCATCATTCTCAGCAAACTATTGCAAGGACAAAAAAAATTAGTATTTGTGTCTTTTCCCCATTGTTGTAGTTATAAGCTGGTGTAATTTAGAATGGGCTTTACTTGCAGTAGTTGTCTAACAAACCATTGCTAAATGTTATTAAATATCTGCCACCATTTTCCCAATATATTTTTTTCTTCCAAATAAACTCAACTTTATGGAGAATCTCTGACTTACTGTGATGTTCCTTCTGTCTAGAATGACCTTTACCACTTGTCTGCTCAGCTAATCCATTCAAGGGCTTCTTCTCTAAGGAACCGTTCTAATGCCTGACTTCAGAATGACTTGTGTGCCCATTCTCTGAGCCTCTTTCATTCCCTCATGTGTTTCTCTCATGGTACTAATGAAAATATATGGTGATTTCTAGATTATTCACTAAGTTCTCCACTGGAGTGAGAACTCTCGTTAATCTCTGAATTCTCAATGCCTCACAGAGTATAGAGGTGCTCTATAATATTTGTTAAATGGATTGATGAGGGAATTGATATTTTGCTGCTCTACCATGTAACCTTTTCTAATTATAATGATGGGTTTGTGTGTGTGTGTGTGTGCGCACGTGTGCACATGCACACACGACGGGGAAGCTGACCACCAGCAGGCAATATGAAGCCACTCTGAAATATGACTGATAAACAATTTTATTGTGCAATGTGGATCTTTAACTAGTCATATTCATTTTTTTATTAAAACGAGATGACACATAAGACAAGGAATTGATTTAGACCTTCAGGAATCAACTCACACCACTTGCTCCCTTATTCTTGCTTTAGGAATGTTTAAAACTTTATTTTTTTTCACAATCAATAGCCAATTGTGGAATGATGCTACAGTAGGCATCCAAGCCATACTCATTCACAGATGGGAATTTTTAGTTCAATACTAATTTATTTGGAAGTTTTATTTCTCATGATATTTTCTAACAAGGCATAGAGCCTTCTTTTTAGGATCCCAGGTGCCATGCTTTATTTCAATGATGAGTGTGTGTGTGTATCCAAATTTTGCTTTTGTGTAAGAATACCAGTCATACTGAATTAGGAACCTACCCTACTTCAGTATGACCTCATCCTAACCTAAGTACATAAGCAATGACACCATTTTTCAATCAAGTCACATTCTAAGGTACTGGGGGTTGGAACTTCCAATATTATGTTGAATATAAACTTTCAGTCTTTTAGCACTGAGTATGACATTAGCTGTATATTTTTAGTATACGGCTTTTTATTACACTGACATAGTTTTCTTCTATTTCTGTGTGTTGATTTATCACATGTTGTGCATTGCTTATCATGAAAGGTGCTGTGATCATGGGAGCAAAAGAATATGAGCTATGAGAAAGATCTCAGGCAGTTTACTCTATTCTTTTCCTGTTGTGAAAAAAGAGAATGTGAACTGGAAAATATCAGTCACTTGTGAGCCCCCACATCAGTTCCTTATTTACTATTTCTACTCAGGATATACATGATGTATCAATTTCAAACAGAGCTTTGTGCCTTCTATGCTGACACAATGCCAAATATTTTTTTTTCAACACAAGACAAAAGGACTGTGGACATGTAGAATCTGGTAGAAACAAGTTTCCCACTAAAGTGATTTTTTAGTGCTATGAGAATTATTTTCAGAAGTTTTACAGTTATTGGCTTCTGAATTTGTGCTAATACATTAAAGGGAACAATAATAAATAGTTTTATGAGGATCTATACTTAGCTACAAAAATTCCAGATGACAAAGAGGCATCAAATGCCCACTTCCAAGAAGAATGTTATTTACAGAGCTGAACTATATACATTTAAAAAATAAACCATTGCTACTGCCCTGTAATCAGGAGACTTGATAATAACCTTCATGTTTATTCTCTGCTGTTCACCTATCTTTTTGGGGCTGTTTTCTAAGAATAAGTCTACACCTTTAATTGCTTTGTCACACATGCAGTGCTGAATGTTTTGTTTAGTTCTTTTAATTAAATGCTTATATATGTGCCTGGAAGAGAACCATTGAGTTGCTGCACTTTGAACCATCTGTTACCTCATAGCACAGGTTATTACATAAAAACAAGTTCTAGAATTTGTGATGTTTAGAGACCTCAGTGTCCCTCCTATTCAGCTTGTTCAAGTTACATTATTAGCTGTACAAAATCCCAGATTGGCTTGTATTTTAAACTGGAACTGGAGGTGGTATATAGTTGACAAAACTGCCTGAGAAATTCAAGCTGTTCACATCATATGAGTTATCTGCCCATAAAGGAGTCCAATCATATTGTTATTGCTAAAAGGATTAGTAACTTTTTTTGTTTTGTTTTGTTTTGGCCACATTACCTGTAGCACATCTGGGAACAATTTGCATGAAAACAATTGATGCCCATGTCCCAAGACCAGGAATTAATGTTGATTTTAGAAATCGTATAATGAAGTATAGCAAATACCAGTGTACGCAGTATAATATGAAGAGGTCAACAACTCTTACATGCCATGGGCCCCAAAAACACTTGAGTCAAAGATCCATATTGGTTATCACCATTCAACAGCATGGCTCAGTACCAGTGATTTCACATGGACATTCCAAACAAAGGACTCCCTAATCATAGTGGAAACCTTCAAAAATTGCTCAAAGTCACCCTGCTTTCCATCCCAAGTCTCTCTGAAAATCATTGCACTCATCTCCTGTAGTTTGTAACCAGGATTGTCACACACTTTTATTTTCTTCATTTGAAACTGAAGGACTTCTTAAATAGTAAGGTTATTCATTTTGGCATTTTCATAACTCATCATTTAGGTTGAAGTGATATGCAGACCACAAAGGATTCCTCGAATCCTATCATTTCAGGAGACTGGTATTAAAAGACATGTCATATTTCTCACCATCACGATGCTATTCCACATTCAGATATCTAGCTTGTTCCCTTACTAACAAGGAACTATCTCAGGAATAACTTTCTTTCCATCCAGATTTAGCAGGTACTTACAAGACAAACAAGAAGGTATTTTGCCCACTGAATTAGTCTGCATCTGCTCTTTGCTTCCCTTTTCCCCCATGCATTAGTTTTCAGGAGAAATCACAGAAGTGAAGTGGTTCATGTTCCAGTTCCTAACAACAGGATCAAAAAGTCTGTGTCATATCTGGTGTCAAGAGTGTTTGTGTTTGCCAGCAACACCTGCGAAAGCATGACTTCCAGGGTGACTTGACATCAAAAGACCTGTTAGAAACACATCGTTTAGTACCTCAGATATTGATTTTTGACAATGTCTCTTGAAGTTTTAACAGAGCCACAAGTTGAGCTAATCTATATTTTTCTGTGGTCCCTGAAGTCACTTGTATAACAATAATATGAGAAATATGGCCTTATCAATAACAAAAGGCATGCCAATCTTTGTCAGTTGTTAACCAAAGGACAAAAGCTGTTGGGTATGCTTGGGGATAGCTGAGGGCTATAGCCTAATATTTCCTTAAATGATTATCATTTACTTTTGAGGTCTTGGGGCAATAATTTAGGGCAAAGGTATATTCACCATATTGTAGCAAACAGAATTGTGTTATTCATTGTTTTCTTGTTAACTACTCTTTACTTCAACAGAGCTGTCAGACACAAAAGAAGCAAATGGTATTGAAGCAAAAGAAGCAAACAGTGCACAGGGTTGGAATCAGGCCAGCATTGGAATCTCAGCTCCTCTCACTAGCTGTGTGACCTTCGGCTAGTTATTTTAACTCCTTAAGCTGCAATTTCTTTATCTGTCAAAAGAAAAGGATAGTAATCCATGGTTTATGAAGTCATGTAAAGATTAAATGAAAACATATGAAGCACTTAACTCACTGATGGGCATGTAGTAAATGCTCAAGAAGCAATAGAGAGGGTGATAATAGCTAATTTGTCATCACTCATTCAGCAAACTTTGACTGATGTCGATTATACAAGGCACTATTCTAAAATCTAGTTTTGTTTTTTTTTTCCTGGATGAGCAATGTACCCCTACAGTCCTCCAGGAAGTCGTAATTTGATGGGAGACAAAGAAACATAGCCAAGGATACAATTTTAAGGTATGTATGAATACAAACTTACACAAAAACACAGGTGAAGAGCAACTAATTACACTCAGATGATTCATCACAGACCTCCATATAGAGGTAACATATAGGCTTGATGTTGAGGAATAAGTGGAAGTTTTCCAGGCAGAGAAAGAGGAAATGAGGTTTTTACATAGAAGAGAGAACACAAAGACAGAGATGAGAAAGTACATATTTGCTTTAATAGTAGGTAGTTCCCTATTTTCAGAATACCCAGGGCCTCACAGGGATTAGTAGAAGGTAAAGAAGGATAGAGGGATGGTGGTGAGACCACTAAGAATTTTATATACAATTATAAGTATTTTGAACTTTGTTCTTTAAGAGATAAAAAGCTATTAATTTTTTTTTATTAAGGAAATGACATGACCAAAGTTATGTTTTAAAAAGAGAGTTGGTGATATCCAACTTGAAAGGAATGAATCAGGGAAGGGCAATCAGATGAACAAACTACCCATTCTGACTTAGGCTATGGGTTCTTGAAAGCTAGGGATGATGTCATCTCAATAATGCTGAGTAAGTTGATAATATAAATATAAAGATTGGAGCTTTAAAACAAATGGAGCCTACTTGAAACTATTTTATTTCATTGGTAGTAATTACCTAAGTACTTGTGTTTTTATTTGTTCTCCTCTTTTTGTCATTACAGGTCACCTTGAATCCTTCCTGGAAAAAAGCAGGTCATAAATAATAATGGTTGTTGGAGAAAGGTCTCTAGGAAAGATGAAGAACTTTTAAATTCCTAGAAGCATCTTAGAAAAGATAACACAAAAACTTTATTTAATGTAAAAATAAGAGCTGAGAGTCAGTTAAATAAACATTGTTAACAGTTGAAATTTTCTGGATTATCTGCATTTATTGTTACTTTCCTTTACTTTTTAATTTAATTTTAGATCAAGGAGTTACATGTACATATATGTTATGTGGGTATATTGTCTGATGTTACATTCCTTTAAATCTTGTATAAATAATCTTTCTTAAAACTACTTTGTAAACTTAGGTAATATAGACTTAATGCACATGTATATTTTTATTTAGATGGAATTTACTTTTTTATTGAGAAATTCAGAACAAATTTTAGATCATTTGTTCAACCACATCTGTTTTCCTTATTGGAAAAGCTTAATTGCCTGGTTTGCATTCTATGAGGCCTCATTTGTGAACCTTATGGTATCTACCGAAATTGGAGGCACTGTGCCTGGGAAAAAAACTACTAGTCCTTTGTGTAAACACACTGACAATTCAACCCTATTAAGTGATGGCAAATCTGTCAAGATGCTTTGCCATTCTGACCACTTGGCAAGGAAATCTGGTCTATGTTTAAAATATAATTTTTGAAGGTGTTGCTTCTATTGAATTCTCCCCTGTATTGCAGTTCGCTTTATTGGAATGTGAAGCCAAAGTGTTGGCAAGAATCAAAACTTTGTTACTAGTAACAAAGGGATTTCCACAATATACCAGGTGGTGTTGTCAAAAATAGTCACACTACACTTTTAGTGTTCAAAGTCCCACTGATAAACCTCCTGGAGGATCGTTTGTTTGGAGTTTAACTGCAGGTGTTTTTGGAACACTATTCTTAAATTCCCAAAGTCTGCTAATTAGAAAGGTAATCTGTGAATTTTCAACTGCATTTTCCATAGATCAGTAGAAGCACCTCTACTACATTAAATCCATGGACCTTCATTATTATAAACTGCTAACCGCTGCTCTTTCCATATTGAAATACTGAAATTGTACATATCAATCCATGAAAAAGGCACATATTTAATGGTAATTTGGAAAGAGAACTTTGTGTCATTAAGGCAAAATATCATAGGTTTAATCAGAAGTGTCAGCAGTCCTATTTCAATTCATTTACCTATTAATCTATAATCATAGCATAAAACACTGCTGCTATCTTAGGAATGTCTGTATTCTTTGCTTTTTATCGCGTGACCTCCATCATAGACACCTGACCTGCAGTGTAAGCCTGGACCATCCTATTGCCTTGTGAACAGTGGTCCTGACGGCAACTTCTTATCTTTCGGTAGAGTAGTTTCCAAATAAATACATGACAGAAGGGGAATTAATTAAGAAACAAATTAACCCCAATGCAAAGGAAAAAAATAGTAGCATATCAGATAATTACTTCTGATGAGAAATTTCTACAATGAAGCAATGCTAACAAAAGCATTTTTAATTGCTGTTGCTGGTGCCTCCCTCCCTGTGATGAAGTCCTTGAATGGCATTGCCCTTTCTTGGAGGAGTTGAAGCAGGAGCAATGGAAGGAGGTTTCAAAACAATCAGTGTTGTGAGATTGCTTTAGAATGAAAAGTCTGGGAAGGAAATAAATGAAAAGATTCTGTCTGAGATAACTTTTGAGTCAGATTTTTCTGCAGCTTAGACTATGTGAGGGGGTGGTTGGTGTGGGAGGCAAGCTATCTGGATTCTCATGTTGATTCTGCTACTTGTAAAGTGATAAAAACTTGAACTTGGAACTTGACCTCTGTGAGTCTCAATTCCTCTTGAAACTGTTCCTTTTGGGCTGGAGATGTTGAAAGTAAAATAAATAAATAAATAAATAAATAAAAGGTAATGGATAATAATATCTACTAAAATGTTGACTGCTAAGTATACAAGGTACCATTTTCTCACTTTTCATGTATTTTCTTATTTAATTCCCACAATAACCCAATGAGAGAGGTACTACTAATATCCCCATATTACTAGGTACACATGTACATAAAGACGGCAACAGTAGACACTGGGAACTAATAGGGGGAGAAGGTAGGAAGGGGTTCAAGGGCTGAAAAGCTACCCACTGGATACTATGTTCATTATCTGGGTGCCAGGATCATTTGTACCCCAAACCTCAGCAACACACAATATACCTATGTAACAAACCTACATATTTGGCCCTTGAATCAAAAATAAACGTTGAAATCGTAAAAAAAAAACTCAGTTTTAGACATGAGTAAAGAGACAATGCAGGGTTAAGTGAATCCTAGTCAGTCTGCACAGAGTTTTAATCACTGTGTTGAAATTTTTCAAGAAAGGCATACTAAAAATGTACAATTGTAACATATCCATGCTATAATCATTGTATTTGCAGTACTAAACTCCCTAAATGCAACTATCATTTTTACTATTCTAGTGATAGAGATACTGGTGATAGAGTAGTGAATGGATTTCTAATCCTGTCACTCTGCTTTTCTTGAGGGTAGGATGATGTTCTCTTTGCCTTTGCATTAGCTACAAGCACAGCATCTGGCATAAAAATATTCCCTGCATATTCTTCCCGTGGAGAGACTGCAGACAGCTAGATAAGAGGACAGGCTCTAACATTCAAAATGGCCCTGACTGTCTAGTTGTGTTGAGCCTTGGATAGTCTTCTCTGGAATAGTTGGTCTAAGTACAATTGGAATGGAACCCCTAGAGCTGCTCTCAAATCAAAGCATCTGTGGCACATGTGTAAAGAATGGGAGTGAGGACGATGGGGGCAATTTTGTCCCACATGCTCGCCTTGCAACATTGTCTGTCTTTTATATCTAAACAAGTCTTCCATTGCAGAGAAATGCTTATTTCTCATTTATGAGCATCCAGACTGATCTAGAATAGGTGGGTGATGGTTGTGACCCTTAATCCAAGATTCCCATAAAGATTTTGAGCCTTCTGGAAGTATAGCAGGTTAACATCTTTCAGTTCTTATCAACTGTACATAGGTAATCAATTCTTTCAATTCATTCAACAAAGACTTACTCTCTACCTGGTTGAGACACTATTCTAGGTATCAGTAATATAATATAAAGACAAAAAATGTGGTTCTTAAACTCAAGTGGCTTATAGTTCATGGAAGAATAAATATGCAAATGAACAGTTATATTTACTTAGTAATGGAGGGGCATGTACATGAAGTGAGTACTTGGGAAAGGGTTCTCACAGGGATAGGACTGAAGGAAAGTAGGATTTGCAAGGCATACAGACAGCTGAAGAACACTGCATTCTAGGTGGATGAAACACTGTGTTCCCTCATATATGAAAGACTGTGCAGACATCTTTCTGTAGACTATGAGAAAGCAACTTTCCAGGAAGGCTTCGAAGGCAGGCTTTCTGTTTATGTATATCTAGACGTCTTTCCCCTGTTCAATTCTATTCCTGTCTGCTAATTCTATTCTTCTTTCTGATCTCCCTGTACTTATGTTGCCAATTGATACTCAGATTCTACACTTGGACTTGTTTTATGTATGGTCTTGATATTTCAATTTGCTTCTATATCCCTCAGAAGCTTGTAAGATATCTACTATTTTAAAATTGTATTTTATGTTCCCTCTACTCCATGTCAAGACTACATGATAATGTTCTATAGAATAATGTTCTATAGAATAATGTTCTATGGAATACTGTTCTTGCTGTGCCTACTGTATACATGCTTAATAAATGCTTATTTTCTGATAAAAATGCTTTTATATGAGAACCCTAGTTATAATAGATAGGTAAATAAGATGCTTAATTCATGGCATTTGCAAAAATACTAATATAATCAAGTGAAATAACAATTGACTGGACTACTGCTTCAAAGTGATCCCGATATAAAAGAGCCCATTATGTAAACTTTCTGCTCCATATTTTAAATACTTCCTTTGCAATTACTTAAACCCTAATAGTAGAGTATTTTCATAAAGTGACATATAATTATAATGTTAAGAAATACCCTTAAATGCCTTGTAGTTCAAATACTAATATATGGCTTCAGTCTCCTCAGTAACAGGCCAACTTTTGCTTGAATAACTCCAGAAACAGAGAACTCACTTCCTTCAACCCCTCTCCTTCCAGGCTATTTCCTTTTTAAGAAGTCTTCCTTATGTTGGCTCTAAATATACCTTGCTCCAGATCAGTGATTCTCAGTGAGGAAAGGGGATAATTTTGTAACTTGCCAATGTATGGAAACATTTTTAGATGACAAAGCTTGGGGTGCTGGTGGCATCTCATGGGTAGAGGGTGGTGATGCTACCAAACATCTTACCATGTACAGGACAGCCTTATATCCAGCCCAAAACAGCAATAGTGCCAAGGTTGCTCTAGAGTCAACCTATTTGTCCACAGAGAGAGTGTACTTGTTTCCATTCAGCTGTCTATCAGATACTTGGAGACAGCTAACTATATGAAGGCTATTACACTCCCAAGTTCTGCAACTATTTTTCCTATGCTCCTATAAGAAAACTGGCAATTAATGTGTGACTTTTCCTCAAAACATTTGAATTTAAAGGAGGAATGAATCATTGAAAGAAACCAATGCTTAATACAAATTGACCAGCGGTGGTCCCCTTGAGCACTGTGGAGTTGAGTGAAGGGGGTATAATAGAGGGATGTCTTTATATGCTCTTCCCTCTTCCCCATATAGCTAAAACCTGTGAAATTTACTGCAATGGATTTAATTTCAGGAGTTATTCTTCTCAGGGGTACAATGTGAACAATGCATGTCATGTCATGTCATGTTATACTATGTGATAGTAACCATCTCCTGAGTTAGAGTGTTCCTGGGATGTGGATAGTGCTAGAAATTCTGGAAAATTTCTATACCAGGGATGGGAAAGAGATAGGAAGGTCCTTTCAAGGCTCTCTTCTGCCCTTTCTATGAGCTTAACTTTTACATGCCATCTAAGCCAAATCTTCATTTGTTCCTGAAGTCGCTTTAACACTCAGGGACAAAACAATAACTGGGTCAACTTATATCTGCTATGTTCTAATTAAAATTTGCTCCATCTAGGCAAGAAAAACTGAAGAAATGATGTGTTCTCTGGAAAGAGTGAAGATCATTTCAAGGAAAATTTTTGATTGAACAACTTAGCAGTTAACTACAGTCTATTCGAAAAGCACAAGCATTATCATTGTTTCAAAACAAGTACCATGTAGACAATCACCTAACAGCAACCAACTTGATTCTCTTCTTGAATAAATATAAATACTGTTTTCCCTGAAGTGGGTGGATTGCAGGCTTATGGAGAAGTGCAGGATACAGTCTTAAAAATGCTTTGAAAGAAACTTATTCTCCAGGGAGAGTGAATAGACTCCCACATATATTTGCTAATATAGAAGGATTTTGATGTTAGCTTTCATTGATTACTGAATTAAGAAATCAATACTGTTGTTTTATAAAAGGGACCACAGCAGACTGGCTTGTTGTACTTAATAAGAGCATTGGGAAAATAATTATCCAGTTTCTTCATCAATGGTGATACAGCTTAACCCAGCAAGTCATTAAGAATTCCCCTCCATGCAGTTTTCCTATCAGCAAACACTGCCTATTGTATGAACTAACACAGCATGGCATATCTCCTATGCTGCCTTCCGGAAAAGTTTCTATCCTTTAGTGGGAAGATAAGAAAAGAAGAGGAAGCTGGAGAGAAAGCACTTCCTGAAGCAATTCAGCAGAGAAAGGAATCCAGGCCCAAATGGGGAGATTGCAATGTCTAAACTGACCCAACCACAAAAGGGAAGATGCACAAAATGCTGTCATTCTCTAAAGTTCTCTCTCAACAGGCAATTTGCAATGGAAAACCCCTGAGCCCTGGTTTGGGACTAGATGTTATAATCAGACAGCAGGAATTTTTAAAATTATGTGACAGGTTCATACTCATTTATTTCTTCCACCCTCTTTTTTCCCCCGGCTCAGTTCAAGAAAAGACAATTTCCAGTACATATGCAGGAAGTCAAAAGTAGTTAAAAATGGATGGCAATGCTACAGGCTGCACACTGTCACCACGGTTACCACACACCAGGTGTATGACCAGAATCAGTCACTGGAGCAGGAGCATGTGAGTATCAGAGGTACCCAGAGAAATCTTCTCTCCAAAAATGTTTCCCTCGTTAGTGTAAAAGAGGGCCTTAAATTCACCATTAGGAATTTATGGCTTTGGATTACCACTGACTATATTTTTTAGAATTCTTATTAAAGGACATATATGTTTCAAAGGAATAACACACTTTAATTCTTAGCTACATAACAGCCACCTAACAACTCTTATTATTTGTGATGCCTAGCTGAATACAGGACCCTGTATTGAAGGGTTCCTTGGAAGGGGGCATGGGGGTCAGTGTATAGCCTAATTGCTCCAACTCCTGGCTTGACTTGGCCTGGACAAGTCTGTGGCCTAATCAGAGTCTGACTAGTCAGGAAATGTTGGAGCCATGGAGGAGGGAATGGAGCCTTCTCTCTTGTTCCTTCTTATTCATGTCAAGGCCTTTATCCCCTTGTACATGGACGTCTCCCACAGTTTTCTGATTGGCCTCTTCAGATCCAGCATCTCATTTACACTGTCACCCTGTTAGCCTTTCTCCAATGCAACTTTCATTCTTACTCATCCTCAAAACCTTTCTAAAGGTCATTTCTTACTTTGTGAGCTACATGAACATATTCTGAATTATAGTTACTGTTATTTCAGAGCACATTGTACCCATAACCAGATTTTAAGTTTCTTGAGATCAGGGCTGTGTTCTATATGACTTTAGTGTTTGCTCTAACTCCTGTCACAGTGCAGTGCACACAGTAGGAGCTTAATACAGACTGACTTGCTGATTAACCATGTGGGAAACCAGCAATGACTTCATGGGACTGCTTGGGCACCAGAGAAGTCCACATAATTAGCTTTCGATATGGCTTTCCACTGACCTTTCCTATAATTTTAGGGACATAAGGTTACCATTTATTGAATCTGTCAGTTTTTGGTGAGGCATTTTCCACAGATTTTCTTAATTTATCTTCTCTCCAACTTTTTGAGGTAGATGATATTTTCTTCATTTTACAGATTAACCAGAAAACGGTGTAGTTGGAATTCAAACTCAGGTCTTTCTGTTGCCAAAATCTACACTGTTTCCATTATAGCATGATAGTTTTGGGTCTTTTATTTATGCTGTGAAGATAAGAACCTTATCAATGTTTGTGACTTCATGGTGATATTGACCAGATAAATGAAAAAAACCTAATGAGATAGGTCTTTCAATGAGTAAGAAGTGGCTTCTGACCTTCAGAACTAACTAGTACAGGGTTTTGGTAGCCCACATTTTTTCCTCTAAACTAGTCTGACTTCTTCCAGGAAGTAAATAGGTAGTAAAAGAGTAAAATTAGATTGTAAAAAGGCCATTTGCAGGGCACAGTTTCTCAATTACTTTGGATAAGTGGGATATTTACACATCTGCTGTAGAGTACCATTTATTGCACTAGGAGAAACTAAGGTGAGAAAAAGCGCATATATATAAGCCCTTACTAGTGGTAATATTGGGTATAATATAAATTCGTGAAATGACTGGCATTCATCTGGAAATTATGATTGAAGTATGGCAGACTATATATATACACATATATGAAATGTTTCATACTTCATTTATATATATATATATATATATATATATATATATATATATATATATGAAGTATGACCGATACTCTTTCCTCAAATAAAATAGCATTTTTCATCTCTCTTTATCCAAGTATAGAAAGAGTGGCAAAATTAACATGATGTGCTTTCATATGTGCAATATTTTCTATCCATCTAGTGAAACCTAAGGATGTTTATTTAAAACCAGTTATCCTAATTACTCATAACATGATGGTGTAATCTGAAGAAGGAAATAAATTTCAAATAGCTCATAGAGAACCACAAAGAATTATACCTAGAATTTTATTTTATGTATCTATCTATATATTTATCATTATTTACATTTTTTTTTTTGAGATGAAGTCTTGCTCAGTTGCTCCAGGCTAGAGGGCAGTGGCCTGATCTTGGCTCACTGCAATCTCTGCCCCCTGGGTTCAAGTGATTCTCCTGCCTCAGCCTCCCGAGTATCTGGGAACACAGGTGTGTCCCACTATGCCCTGCTAATGTTTTGTATTTTTGATAGAGACAGGGTTTCACCATGTTGGCCAGGCTGGTCTCAAGCTCCTGACCTCAGGTGATCTGCCTGCCTCAGCCTCCCAAAGTGCTGAGATTACAGGCATGAGCCACAGCACCTGGCCTATACCTAGAATTTTAAGTGCCACAAATGTGAGATAGAGAAAGAAGGTTATTCCAACGCAAATATAGCCAATTTAAGTGGTTCATGACATAAAAAGACAACATGAGTGTGGTATAGTTTCTTTTAGTGCTTGGGGCTTTGATTATAGTAATTTGGTGGGAGGCAAAGTGTATGACTCTTAGAATCATGGACTTTTATTACTGTGACATTAATGCTCTAATCAGAAAAAATACTAAACTTAAAGTAACATATAAATATCACATGGGGTAGTTAAAAGAACACAGAAGTACAAAAGATCTATCTGAGTTCTAGTTCTTGTACTTTCTACCAGTGGGAGTTTTCATGAAACCAATCTTTCTGGGGATTGGGAAAATGATGAAGTTAAGCTAGATGATTTCTCACTTATTTACTTCTATAAAATTTAGTAACCTTATAAGTAAGGATTGCAAGAGTATGTATATTTCTTCTTTCCCAACAAAATTATGACAGCCAATTATTAGCTTTATATTTAGTTTAAGTTATGTGTTAAATGTTTCCTTTTTTTTTTTAATGGTAGTAATCCTCTGGCTTCTCTGCATACATTTTTAGGTTTATATCCTGAGAAATTTTATTTGTATTTTATCTCTGAACAAAAAAATGCTTTAGTAAAAATTAGTGGGAATAATGGAGTTCCATGACATTATGCCTTCCTGTGTTTGATTGCATCAGTGGCTTCAAATTATTATTTCATCTTACCTTGATAGTCTGTTGCATAACTGCAGCACTTGTCCTGTGGGCAGGGCATACTTACCAGCTCCTTCACTCTGGATTGAGCCCTGTGAGTTGCTTTTGCTAATGGGATGTCAGCAGGTGCGAAGCAAGCAGAAACTTGAAAGAGCTTTGTACAGCTGAGTTTGCATTCTCTTGCACCTCTGCCATCACTCAGAGAACATTCCTGGGCTAGATGATCGATTCCAGGAGGAGGATAAGAGACAACCTGGAGCAGAGCTGCCCCCAGTGAAACCCAGCCTCCATTAGTTCACAGCATCTGATCTTTAGACTTGTAAACTAATAAATAATATTCTTATTTGAACCACTGAATTTTGGGGGTAGTGTTTAATGTTGCAATAGCTACCTGATATGCTTCTAAACAATTTTCATTGGTAGAAAAATCTTCTGCCTGCAAACCTATATTATCAAATTATAACTAGAAAAATTAATAATTGCATTGTTGATATAATCCGTTGATGACGTTATTATGATATTTTCCTTTTGTTCCCCCAACACATAAAAGCAAAGAGATACAGCCTTTTAGCAATAGCATTAGCCAATCTTACCTGTATGGAAACACTGCTATAAGAGCCACCAATGACCCCTGCAATGAGAAGTGGGATGTTTTCTTGAATGGCATAGGATCCATCAGGACACATATACTCAGCTTCATCCACTTTTGTCAAAGATGCCCTGACAAACTCCAGTGATTGCTCCAATGCATAGGTATCCCTTGAACATGTATCCAAAATGTGAACACCCAACTTCACTCCTGGTAGCAAGTAATCATCTTTGTTGATTTCATCAATAGCAAACAACATGGCTTCCAGGCGTTGAATCCCTCGGTCTTCATTGATTCGCCCACATTCTTCAGTTCCAGTGCCTTTTTCGTTAATAGGAAACAGGCCCCCTAAAACAAGGTCACCTTCTATTTTAATCTCTCTCCTTAGAAAGTTATGGTCCCCTAAAGAGAGTAAAAATCCCTTTGAAAACAAAGCTAAGGTAAGAACTTGCAGTCTTGTCAACATCTTCATGAATCCTGTTTCTGTACCTCTGGGAGATATCAATGGTGGAGCCAATGTGTCATGCTAGTCCTCTCTCATTTCCAAACTGGATCTTTGGCCTGTCCTTCAAATAAGGGAGGAACAGACTAACAGAGCCTGTCACAAAATTCCTAAAGAGATAAAAATTATATGAACAAAAATGGTAAAGAAAGCAACAGTGATTACATCGATCATGCCCAATCAGACCTTTAATGGGATGACTCAGAAAACCATTTACTAAACACACAGTACACCACAGCACCAGGCACTCTCTCACAGGTATTCTCACCCCATCCTTACACACTCTATGATGTAGTTCCTAGTGGTCCCATCTCACAGAAATGGGCACAGAGGGTCAAGGAGGTGACCTTACAAAGTGTACTTATTGCAGATTGGGTTTGGACTCCAGTTTTTTTGTGTTTTGTTTTTTTTTCTTTTGAAAGCCAAGTCCAGTACTCTCTCTACTGAGTCATTTACTTTGTTTTTGTTAGGGCAGCAATGTGGATGTGAGTTTATATCCCTTCTCTTTAAGCTGCATTTGTAAACTTACCTTTTTTATGGACTCTTACCCTTTCCATTTAAAACACAAGAAAACACAATGAACTCTGTTACCATTTCTGCATTTCTACCACTGCATCTCTGTCCCTCCCTTAATAGATGAACTATCCTAGCCCATTGAGGTTAAGAGTCTGCCTCAACTGCTCTAACAAAAGTGTTGTGGAAAAAGCTGCTACTTATTTCTAAATTGAATAAACTATAAACTCACTGTAGTTCTCATTTTACTTGACCTTAATTGAAATCTTGACTATTCTCTACCTATTACAACTTCCTAGGTTTCTGTTATCATGCTTCATCTTGACAACATCTCAAATTCCATTGTTTAACACCTTCCTTCCCCCATCCTCCCACTACCTCTCCCTGGGCCAACTCATCTATTTTCAGTTTCAACTACCACTTAAATGAGCTCCATACTTCTTAGGTCAACTGCCTGTTAAACAGCTTTACCCACACATCCTTCAGACACCTCAAAGTCTGCGTGTCTATGAATGGATCTTCTCTGTTTCCAGGCTCTCAGGCCAGAAATCTGCACCCTAGAGTCTTCTCCACTTCACCCCCTGCTACCATCTTTCAATTAGCCACTATGCCCTGCAGAATCTAACCGCTTAACATCTCCCAAAGCTACCACTTCTTCCTTATCCCCACTATGCTGAGCTCTTGTAATTCGTAGCAGGACCCTAGCAATAAATTCCTAGAGAGCTGCTACCACCCCCCAAAGCACTGTTTTGAGCATTAGACAAAGATACCCCCTTTAAAAGTACATGATTTCTCAACTTTTTGTTGTATAACCTGTACAACTATAGATGATGGGGCAAGTGTGATTGCTGGTGGCTGCCTCCCCTATCCAGAGTGAGGCAACTCCTCATTTTGTCGTCACATCTCAGGTAGTGCAATGAATGCCAGTGCTGGGGTGCACACAGTTGACTGTAGCTACTGTGAATTGAGCATCTTTTTACATTCTAGGCTAGAACGTATGAATCTATTGGGAATCAGGCAAAGCCTTGCTGTGAGGATCATGTTTTGGACAGTAGTCTGGGATCTTTCTAGAGAGCTTTCCAAAACTCTGGTGTGGAGTAGTCTAGTTGCATGCACACATGAACCTATGTACCTGCTGTTGAATTCTTTGACACTCAGCTTTCTAGCACTAGAGCAAACACTTGGTCAGCACATTCACACAGCCTGCTTACTTCTATCCCCCAAGATAAGATGAACGTATTATTTTCAGAGTCAAGTGAGAGATCTGACTGCATCAGACTCCTGGAGCATTCTTCTGACAGGTTGCAGCCACATGCCCTTGTGTGTTCTAGTTGAGCATGCCTGTCTGCTTTTCAACCTTCACACATGATTGTGTGTTGGAAGGGTTTTATGAAGGAAGGGCCCTCCTAGCTGGTCCAAGACTCAATCAAGATGCCTAAAAGCCACACTATTCATGTGCTCTCAGATAAATTAGCAAATGTTAGCAATTTGAATGATGTCTCATTGGGGGAGACACTCTAATGCACAATCTCAATTACTATTCAGAGTAGCCCATCTTCTATCAATGTATACTGAGTTTCCCTTGCCCACAGATTTAAGAATTAACTAATTATAAATCTCTTCTCAGTGCTTTATGATCTTGTCCCTGGCTAGCTCTAAAGTCCTACTGCTCACCATGCTTATCTGCATGGGCCTACCTCTGCCTTCAGATCTTAAGCTGCAGATATATTGAACTATGTGCACTCAGTAGGTGTTTAGGGTGTTGATGACCCCTTGCTTTTGCTCATGCTGTTCCCTTTTGCCAAGAATGTCCTTCTATACCAATTTCTCCAGCAAATAGCCACTTACCAATTTAAGACTCAACAGTTACTACCAGGAAAGATCAAGTATTCTGTCTTATCTCCCTTCCCCAATCAAACTGTTGACTTCTGGCTTTATATTCCTGTTGTAGTTTGTTCAAGAAATGTTTGCTATTGCTATTTTGATTTATATTTGTTTTCTTGTGTGCTCATTGAGAATTAATGAAATGGCACAGCATTTAGAATTTTTTAGGTGCCAAGGAAGAAAAAAACTCAATGAAACAAGCAAGACAGGAGCTAGTCCAGTGTTTACTTCAACATTTTTGACATTTCTCCCTTTTCATATTAGCAGTGCCCTTTAAAACACAGATTTCTGCTTACTTTCTGTTCCTTTCACATGCAGCGAATGATGGGCTGTTTTCCTGAGCCACAGAGTCAGCTGGGGTATGTTTTGTCTGTTTGTTTAGGTGTGAATCTCAGCACTGATGGCAGCAGCCATTGGAATGCTCAGTATTAACTCAGAGCCTCCCTGGGAGATCTGCCACAGGGTACCAGAAAGTCTAATAATAATAATTTTTTTAAAAAGTTGATACTGTAGTAGAATTTTTTTGTTTCATATCAATTTCTGGTCTCTTTGATCTTTACGTGCAATTCCCTTTGAAGAAAAACTGCCATGGAAGGCAAAAGACACTGCGATCATTATCGCTAATGATAAAGATGCAGAAATTTCTCTATAAAATAATTGTTTTATGTGCCTAGTAAAACAGAATAGCTAATTAAAAGAAGGCCATCAACACAGGCTGACCATGTGTCTTTGCAAAAAGTGTAGACATCTTTTGAATGTAAAGAAAGTTTGGCTACTCAAATAAAGATTACCTTATAGTCTATAGAAAGCTTAATTCTCTGTTGGGAAAGGGCTCTTAGCCAAAAAAGACTTCAAATGAAACACAGCATTACGCTGAAAGAAATAGTCTCTCCTGTCCAAACTGGATCTTTGGCCTGTCCTTCAAATAGGGAAGGAACAGATTAATAGAGCCTGTTACCAAATTCATAAAGAGATAAAAATTATATGAACAAAAATGATAAAGAAGGCAACAGTGTCTATCAGTTTACCTGTTTCACAGGTAAGGACTGTGTTTTATTTCTCTTTGTTTACGTTCTGGTATAGTAAAAGAATTCAACGAATGTTTCTTGAAGGAATATAGACATCCATGATATCTATGTTTGCACATGACCCTTTACTATTTTATTTATGGTATGGGAAATGGGAATTAAATAAGAGAAATACATTATTTTTGCTTCATTACCTACCTTGTCACATCAGATGCATTTCCCCTATTGCACTCTTTGATGGTAGGGTCACCAACAGGTAGAAATATAGTAATGAATTTGTATCATGCAAGAAAAAATACTGCCTTTGTACTTGAATATTGCAACTGAGACTGGCATCTAGGAAGCCAGGAGAGATGTAGACCTGAACTGACCTACATTTACTGCTTAAGTTTTTGGTCAGGAGAATACTAAATAAGGAATATGCACATTCTTCTATCTCAAAGCCTCAGAGACACATTCACTTATGAAATATTTATTGAACACCCACTATGTGTGCACTAGGCTATGGGTTGGATACCCAGGATATATACTTTAGTTGTAAACAAATGAACATCATCCCTGCTGTCAAATAACATTCTAAATGCTTACACATTTTTATATAAAGAGTGATAGAAAAGTATGCATCTCTGTTTTTATGAACTATTTTCATCATTAGTGAAAATCTTGAAAGTTTGTATACCATTGGTTTCCTTCAACATGATAATTGTTAAGTGCTATACTCAAAAACTGATTTATTCATACTACATGTGTTATATAAATTTAAAAATTAGATATGCAGACCATAAAAATAAGTTGGGGGATGACAATGTCATGTAAAATATTTTTTCCTTTTAGCTCTGTGACAGGGCATATCTAAGTAACATTTAATGTCATTTTAGAGAATTACAAATCAAAAATCAATTAATGTTTAAATACACTGTATTTTTATTTACTTTTTCTTTATAGCAGAACTTATAATGATTAATACTGTAGCACTATGCATAATCAGAGACAATTAGCACTGTTTAAAATGAAGCCCTAAGAAAGTTAAAAAAAAAAGTAACATTGAAAAATAGACAAACATGTTTAATTCAATGCCACTGTTATCTCTGTGTAACAGTTTATCGGATTGTGTGAAAGGGCACCAACCACCTCTTTTCCGGTTCTTTTCATTATAAATCAGCCAGCAGCACATTCCTCAGATAAACAGGCTCCCTACTGCAGCCACATTCATATGCAGCTGGAGAATTGCATCTCTACAGTCAAAGTTCTCCATTCGGGGATGATGAGTGATGCGTCAACTGTAAACAAGCATGTGTAGCCCTCTCTGTAGGCAACCTGCTCACCAATGTTTTATTAATTCATGCATTAATAGAATCTCAGATGTTTGCTATGAATATAACCCCTGCAATATATGAACTGAAAGCATTTCTGTACTCTGCATATGATAATATGTCTTTTCATCCATTCTTTGCTCAGGGACTCGGTGTCGGAAATGAAATGCACTTTCAGTCAATACAAAAGTAGTTTATCCAGGGAAAGGAAAGGGTCTACCTGGGAGATAAAATGCCAGAAACCATACATACTCTTTCCCAGAAATAAATCCTTAAGTTGCTGAAGGGTTTCTGAGAGTGCTCAAATCCTGCACACTCAATCAATCTGGAACAAAGTTAGGGTTAGTCCTAGTATGTGCAATTTGATTATGATTCTGTAATTTTTCAGCTGTCAGTATTATGGGCAACAAAAGGCATAGCCGTTGCTCTAGACTGCCATTTTCAGCTGGGTAAACAAACAGACGCTGTAGCTATATTGGCATTTTTAATAGGAGATATGCCATTGCATGACTGTAATTCTTTTACTAGAGAAAAAGGGTATTTTTCCCCAGAAGTCTTAGGAAGCTATTATGAGTAGCTCATCATTTCAAACCCAATCATTTTTAGTAGATCTACCTTAAAATTTCTTTTCCTTGTAGCCTTCCATGTTACTCCACTGTAAGGGGTTCCTTCATTTGCTAAATTCCCATATACTTTGTGCTATGTTTATCATGAGGATCATATTTTGTCTTGTGTTTTATTTGCAAAGTTTTTAAATTGAAAATTATTCTTACTTTACCATTAGTTTGTAAACTACTATATATCAAGGAGCATACTCTAGATATTGTTGTATGTTCCACAGTGCCTCACACACAGTTGTCAAAAGTTGGTTAAATAATAAATTCCCAGTAGCATGCAAGTTTTAGAAAGATTGATCAGGAGATTGAAAAAATAATTTGGAAATTTCATTCAGATAACAAAGATTGCTAAAAAGATCTGTCATTTTCAAAATGACATTATAGTAGGGCAAAATTCAACTTTGGCCCTGGATAAATTTGACCCAAATATCTTTGATCTGACTTTGTGATGCTGAATTGCCGGTTGATTTTTTACAGGAAGAAAAGTATAAATTAAAACTGGAAATTTTGAGAGCATTTAGAGAAAAAAGAATTAGAATACATGTTATTGGTCTGAGAGGGGTTAGGAGGAATGGAAAACAATACATCAAATGACAGGTTAAGTTCCTTCAAAGTATGAAGGACGGGGCAGAATAGAGGAGGCCAGGCTTATGCACTAAGATTTAAAGTTAGGGAGAAGAGTTCTGCTTTCCTTCAAATTTTCTGAGTTTAAGGCTGTTTGAAATCCCACAATGTGTGTGAAATTTTAAACAACAAAAACATTAGGTCAAATCATGGGAATTAATTGATAAGACCCTCTTATATAAACCTATTTTATTAATAGATAAAATGAAAACACCCAAGAACCCTGGGTATGTTGAAGAGAGGGACGTTGCCAGTCGGCATATTGGAGCTGAGAAACGGATGGTGATGAGGCCAAAAGAAGAAAGGCCGACTTCACTATTCGACCTTGACCAAAAAAACTAAGTAAGGTAAATTAAAAAATAAAAATCACATCTCCTATTCATCTCCTATTTTCTTTATCTTCTGAATTTAGAGGAAAATGATTTTATGAGGTAGGCAAACAGATTGTCCTAAACTTTGGTGAATGCTGGTAATTTACTTCCCATCAATAGTATTCACTTTGTTGAGTGACTCAGTATAGAATATATTGCAGATTTATTCGCTTCCCTTCAAAGTAAACCTTTATTTTCCTAAGCATCAAAATGCACAGTATTTTCATGGTATGTGTGCACGTACACATGTGTGTGTTGCCATTTCAGCTGCTTTAGCATCCTCAAGTTCCTTACCCTCATTACAAAGCCTCTGAATTAGAGCCTCTCCAAATTCCCTGTGATCCACCTTTGTCCTTTACCTCTTCCAAGCTGCAAAGTCTAATAGAAGTTTCAGGTTTGTCAGCATAAACCGAGTGTAGAAACTGGATTTCTCAAAAGCTTTCTCTCTAGCTCTGGACAAAATGGTGAAGGAGCAGAAATGGAGGAATACCATTTTTAGGAGGATATTTTTACCAATTGGCAATATGACCCATCAAGTGGCTATTATTAATAATTTCCTAGATGTATACAGTCCCTTTTTATATAATTTCAGAGTATTCTGCATAGTGAATTAACTCTTCTGTTTCCTGGTAAGAAATAATTATATCATCTATTGCTAAGTAGAGAGTGAGAGAGGGACTGAGAGAAAGAGTAAAGCAAATTGCTCAAGATGGTAGTCAGCAGTAATAAATACAGAATTAGGATTTAGGAAGACGTTACCATTATTGCTCCAACAAGTCTACAAAACAGAACATATGTCACACATGTCTTTACAAAGATATCACTTCTATCATTCACATATTCCTGGTGACCATTCCTATGACATGGTTACTAGGAGAAGTCAAGTACAGATATTGGACTGTTAACTGGATTTACCCTCCTGCTGAAAATAACTACAAAATTGTAGAAAAAATATGAAGCAAACTATGATCTTTGACAGAAAAAAAAACACATGAGGGAAACCCCATGGTTACCCCATAGATTCCCCAGTATTCTGCACAGGGCACTTTCCTGCCATGTAGCAGTGGCAGTCTTTCTGACTTGAGGAGGCAGGGATTATTTAATAGAATTCTAAGCTGCTAAAGTGGTTGCTATTTGTGGGGCAGTGAGCTGCATGGAGTTGGTGGGCAGATCTGAGTGGTCATCCACAGGGTGAGACTCAGTGAGGCCTGGCAGACATATCCGAGAGGTATTAGAGTTCCAAGCCAGCCGGAGTGCAGAGATCAAACTAGGCACTTTGTGCTTTTTATTAAAACCTTAGAAAGACTGGCTGTACTCTATTAGTAAAGGCCAAGCTCTGGAATTAGGGCCATGTCATAGGACTAAGTATAAAACAGACCTGTCCTTATAAAGAATGAAACTAAGTCTAACAAAAGTAAAATGATCCACCAGTATTTATTTATGTGCCTGTTAGGACAAAACTCAAACTCTTAAAGAAAGATGACATAATTCAGACTGCCTACAAATATATGTCCTATAATAACCAGCATGTAAGTATAAATTGCTTGACATATAAGACAACAGAAAAACAGCACCCAGAGCAAAGAGAGAAAGCATTATTTGAAATAAGACCTGAAATGGTGCACATTTTGGAATTAACAGACAAGAACTTGGACTATTATAAATATGTTCGAAAACACAACAAAATGAATGAATAGTTGGGGAATCTCAGCAGAGAAGGGAAACTATAAAAATACTATATGGAGATTCTAGAACTCAGAAGTACAATATTTAAAATAAAGATTTCATGACAGGAGGCAACAGATTGGAGAGGCAAAATAATAAACTTGAAAATGGACCAAAAGAAATAATCTAATCCAATCAGAGAGAAAAAAGATAGAAAAGAAATTCAACAAATCTTCAGTGTCCAGTTGGACAATATTTAGTAGTCTAACACATGCAAAATTAATGTTTCAGAAGGAGAGATGAATGAGAGAAAATACTTGAAGTAATGGCCAAAAAATTCCCCAAATTTGATGATAAACATAAGATTACAAAACCAAGGAGCTCAGCAATTCTCAAGCAGGATAAATATAAATAAAACCATATGTAGTTAAATCATAGCCAAATTGATTAAAGTAAAGGTAAAGGAAAATCCTTGAAAACAATCAGAATAAAGCAGCACATATGTGTAATGTAACAACAATATTAATGATAGCTGACTTATCAGAAAAAATAACTTAATGAAATGGCACCTTTGAAGTTCTGGGGAAAAACTGGTCAAGCACCACAGAATTCTCTATCCAGTTAAACTATACTTTAAGAAGTTGAAATAAAGACTTTTTATAGGCAATTAGAACAGACATTTCACAATTAGTAGACTTACACAATCAGAAATGCTAGAGGAGGGCCAGGCACCGTGGCTCATGTCTGTAATCCCAGCACTTTGGGAGGCCAAGGTGGGTGGATCACTTGAGGTCAGGAGTTCGAGACCAGCCTGGCCAACATGGTGAAACCCCGTCTTTACTAAAAATACAAAAATTAGCTGGGCTTGGTGGTGTGTGCCTGTAATCCCAGCTACTTGGGAGGCTGAGGCAGGAGAATCACTTGAACCCAGGAGGAGGAGGTTGCAGTGAGCAAAGATCACGCCATTGCACTCCAGTCTGGGGGCACAGAAGTTAAACTCCATTTCAGGAAACAAAAACAAACAAACAAACAAAGAAATGCTACAGGAATTACTTCAAAGTAAGAGGAAACAACACCAGATGGAAAATCAAACCTACAAGAAGGAATGAACAATACCAAAATGGTCAATATGTGGGTTAATACAGAAGAAAATCTGTAAGTCTAGACATTAGATATTGTTAGCTTAATTTCATAAAAGCTATATTTGTCACAAATTTTTTTAAAAAGTGAGAAAAGTTCCACTACCATTTTGTTTATTTTATGGTTTGATTTTACTTCTCTCTGTATATATATGTTTGCCTTCATCCTATATCCTGTTTGCTGGAAACCCCCTTAGGCATTCTAGAGCCTTCTACTAAAAGAGCCATCCCCATAATTCAACAGCCATGTTTCTGAAAGTAGCATTTGAGAGAATATTTTTCTTTAATTTTATTGCTGCTAATAGATTTAGTCAAGGCTTAAACCCAGCTGGCACACACTGGTACAGCCATACCAGTTGTTAAAATATTTAAATATTTCCATCAAGTTGGTGTATAGCCAATCCTACCAAGCCCTTTGAGCATTTCTCCATCTTTCTGGCTATTCTGGTCCCCTCTCTGGCATATCTCCACCTACCCTCTCCCATCCTTAACCCCCATATTTCCTTATGACCCAGCAACTAAAGGGTTAGATTCTGGCACAGTAGGGTCTTTAGTTTCCACTTCCAAGGTTATGATTACTGCCCATTTCGATAACTTGATACTAGTTGTTAAGCCTTTTGAATGTCATACCTGAATTGACTTGCTGAATAAAATTTCAACATTTGGGAAGTTTCACTTTTAAGCAAAATCCCAATCAGCTAAAACAGAGCTGAATTTTTCCATTTTGGTCTGACAGATTAGCATCCATTTCCTTTTTTTTTTTCCTGGAAACTACACCACAGTTTTCCTTCGGGAACCAATGCATATGCTTCTAAAGTGAGGTGAATTCATTCCTGGCTTGATGGGTGGCTTATGACACACCTGATTAACCAGAGTCAAATGTCCCTGGCTACTGCAGTTGGTTAAGGAATGAGCCTGTCACCAAATCATTGCCAAGCAGGATGATTTAAGAAAATTTTTCAGAACCACTAGGAGGAAAACATCCTCTCTCTGGTAGAGTGGCTTAAAAGAATGCATGTAAGCTCTTGTAAGTATGGGAGCTGCTGGTGGGCATCTTACCACCATGAGACAAATGCCTGTCTGAGAATAAACACAGAGAAATGCAGAGCCAAGGAATGGGGATATAGTGACACCCGTGCTGCTTAATCCATCTAAAATTTCCCAGTAACATGAGACAATAAATTCCCTTTTGGTTTTGCTGAAATCAGTTTGAAATTGGTTTTATATAACTTGCCCAAAAAGATTCCCAAATAGCCTCTCTCTGTCTTTCCCATACCCTTTACATTAAAGATAATAAAATTTATTGGGCACCTACTATGTGCTAAAACTATGGTTAATGTTCTACATAGATTATTTTATTTAATCCCATAACTTTTATCCCATTTATACCCTTACATATAGATGCCATCTCAGATGGCCACAGGCTTCATGATGGCTCCCACTGTGCTACTGTATTAATGACAGCTCTTTCCAGAAATTCAGTGACTCCAGAATCATCTTTTCTTTATGCTATTATCAGAAGTCCCATATTCTCAATTCTCTTACCACAATCAAGTCATCTGATATATTAAACCACCAGTTTTGGCACATTAATGCAAGTTAATTTGTTACCCATTTAGGGATGATCAAATTTTTGAATGGCCCAAAACACAGGGTTAAAACATTAAAGAGAGAGACATTTTTAATCATGGAATTGTAGATACCTTTGTGTACAGATAGTAAAGTATCAAGGCCTAACTGATGTTCTTCAAGTTATAGCATGTATGAACCCCATACTCAAATAGAAGTCAACTTGTGTATATCAGATACTATGAGATTTCAGGCTTAGAATAATCCTGATCTCATCAGATAGACAATTAAATGCCATTGATAAGTTAAACCTGGCGTAATGGAACTCTCCTATCATTTAAGTGACCTTAGAACATATTTTTTCAGTTCTGCTTAGCTGGAAAATTCTGTGGACAATCATTAGTATGCAGTAGTTGGCTGGTACCATCTCTCAAAAACCAATTACACATATCTCTTCCCAAGGCTGTGTTCAGTGTCACCATGCTGGCACCTTAAAATTGGCCGTGGTGAGAGCGCTTACATCACAGAAATCAGCAAACACTAAAAATCAGTCCCTCCATAAGTTCCCAAGATTTGATTGTTAAATATTTACCAGCACACCACTGGTGGTAAATTTAACAATGCTCTTATAAAATCCATTCCTAGAAAATCAAGTAGAAATTGATTGGGAAGGCAATATGGTATAGTACCTTAGATCAGAGTTTTTCTAACTGCAGATCAAATTTTCACAACCTATTCAAGTGTCATAATCCATATTAGCAAATCACAGCGAGCATTTTAAAAGGAAATAGAAGAGCTTAAAATATAATAAAAATATCAAAATATGAATATAAGGCATTTATGTAGAAAGGGTGAATATTATTTTCTAAGATATTTTGGTGTGTATGCATGTGTATATGAATATTTATTCTGGGTTACAATGTAAAATAATTTCTTACTGGGACATGTTAAAAAAACATTTTGAAAGCCACTGTGTTAGGGTTTGGCCTCTTCAGTGAAATGTTTGAATCTACTTCATGATGTCAGCACATGGCCACCTCTTTGGCTCTCATTTTATATATGTGTAAAATGAAGACAAGAACAATACCTATTTCATGTTTTTTTAGGATTAAATGAAACAAAACATAACATTAGCTCAATAACTGTTAGCTATTATTAAAATTGTTGGAGTGAGGATAATTTATCAATGACTCTAATGAAATTGGGGGTGTTCTGGACTCTCCAAATGATCCCCATCAGCTAGCATTCTGCCTTTCTTCTCATTGAGGTGTAAGGTGGTGTGTGATCTTGGGGAACTGCTGGCTGTGCGGATGATGCAATGAGGGAATCAAAGTTCCAAGGTCTCCAGTAAATTCTGAATTGTTTAGTGTTTATGGGTGCTAAATACCATAATATGCCAGGAGAAGATGGAAAGTGATCATCTCCTTCTCCTCAAAAGGACACATGTGCTCACACTCAGTTGATATATTCTGTTTCTCCAGAAAATGTTAGCATCCTTACTCCCTTGATCCTCTCCTGTTGTACTGAGTTTTGTTAGAAGGGGGCTGGGCACGTCTTATCCTGAGTCAATCTGGACTAGGACATTAACTGACCCCTAATGTCAAAAGAAGAATATTTCCTAAAATTCTGGTGTCCAAGTTGTTTCTGACTTAATTTTCACTATCCCATCACAATAGAGGCCTTAGTTATAGGAGGTTTGGGTCCTCTATAACACTTATTAGTCTTTAAATTCCATGGCAACTACTGTGCCTGTGACAGCAAGTCTGGGCTGTCTTCTGCCCTCTTGTCCTTGATGAGTTTCAGGGAATATTGACCCCTACTATCTTGTTGTACACATTTCAATGTAGGAATCTCCCAACACAGATATAATTTGAGACAGATTTTCAACTAACAAGACTAACATATCTCTTGTATAGCTTTCAACTTTTAAACTGGTTCTGATTTTACCTGTGCTTTAAAAAGACTAAGAATAACACAAAGCCTTCATATAACACAGCTTCTAGGTTTGCTTTCCTTTCTTTGTATTATACTCAAATTATGGGCATAAAATTATGGCATGTGTATGTTACACAAGGGCCCATTTCTCCAAGTAATAAAGGCAGAGCTAGGCACCAAAGAGTGCGTATTGCATGAATCCATTTATATAAAAGCCTAAACATACCAAAGTTATCTACAGTATTGTAAGGTCAGACAGATTTTACTCTTGTGAATATGAGAGGTTACTGACTTGTAGGAAGCCTGAGAGGGTTTCTCGAGTGCTGGCAAATTTGTGTTTCTTGATCCAGACTTTTGTTTCATGAGGTGTGTTCAGTTTGTGAAAAGTCATAAAGCTGTGCAATTATGACATGCATTTTTCTGTATGTATATTACACTTCAATGAAAATTTAAAATAACAAAAGCAGGTCTGAAGTGAAAAAGAATGGCTAGTGTGGCTGTGCATTTTTTAAAAATGACAGTATATAACAAATAGGTCACAGGAGTATTGACATGAATTTGCAACTGTGGGCTTACTAACAGCACTAACTCTGATGAGAGAATCCTCTAATGCCTGGTGAGAAGTCCTAGAGGAAGATGAGATGCCATACCTCACTGCAAGTGAGTGATGGGCGTGCAGAGGCCTCCTTCTCATTATAATAGCAAGCCAGTCACTTTGTTATCCTTTCTGTACACAAGCAGAAACCATGAGTCTGGGTGTAAATGACAAATACTACCAGTGACACACTGCCTGACATTTGGAACTTGCAACTTTATAGTTTAGGCTGCATGGGAAGAGAAAGGTGAAGAGTGAGTTCCAATCAGAAGATTCTAAGTCAGGCAACTGTTACTTTCACAGCTTGATTTCTGAAAAGTGAATGAAATTATACTGTGGTTTTACTATGTTCCACTGTTCAAAAAATTATGTTCAATGATTTAAACAAAATTGCTTATTATGTCTATTATGTGCCAGGCCCTGTGGTAGGTTCTAAAGATACAAGGAGCAGTAGGACGGCATCTCTGCAAAATACAGTAAATGAAGTTTGTTGGGACTCTGATAACAATTAACAGCTAAACAAAACATAACTCAAATTTATTTTGGCAGCACACTCCAGTGTGACACATCTGAAGAGGGCCACAGCCTCCTCCTTCATTGCCGTAATTGGTTGCTTCTACCATGAAGGTTGGGATAGATTACCATTTCCAACTGGATGGGCAAACTGCATGGCAGAGCTTAAGAGCTTCGGATTACTACTGCTCTTTCCAGATGCAGTTAACCTTTGAATGTGGCTGTCTTGCCCACGGTGATACCTGATGCCATTTCAGACAATGGGGAAATTGATGACAGCAGAGATCAACTCACTGGTCTAAGATTAAAATATCAATAGGTGGCAGTCATAAGAATATATTTCATATATCCACTTCTATTATTTTCCTTATGCCCTATATTTCTAGTTACAGTGGACTCTCATATTTAAAATGTTCACACAAATTGTATTGAAAGTTGGTTTAAATTATCCTCCCTATCCTGACCTTTTAGGTATACATTCTTTTCTCTGTACTCAAGCTTTCGCCAAGTCCTAGTTGCTGTTTTGCTCACAGTAGCTCCAAGTTTGGCTTTCTTTTCTCTGTTGCTATTTTTAGATAACATCAATCTTTTATTGATCTTTGTTTCTGATTGTTGCAACCTTCTTCCATTCAGATTTCACACACTTTTTTTTTTTAATCTACTTTAGTCTATTTAAGATATTGCTCTAAACTTGTATTCTTCACCTGTGGTCACTTGAACGATGCAAATATCTCTTGTCACTCTAAATTTCATCTTAGCAGCACCAGTTTCAATGATTTTATCCATTCACTTCTTTTCTCTTTTACGGCCCAATTTCTTTAGTGGCTAGGAAACACTAAGATAACTCCTCATGCTTTTTCTTTTCATTCCTAACACAGCATATGTTTCCAAGTCTGGGCAAGCTAATTCAGTTACTTAGCCCATAGAACTAGTAAAGCCTACATCATTTGATTTGTCCAAGTTGCATTATTCTAGACAAAACTGGTGTTACATATTTGGTCATAGTCTGTATTACACAAGCATGCTATTGGTCACAAAGTAAACTGTAGTGCAAGATACTTGGAAAGCTTTGTGTAAATTAGTTAGCGTAGCTAAACTTGTGAGCTGCAGCAATTCTGTGTAGATTAGCATAATCTTTCTTTTTGATATATAATGCATTGCCAGGCATATATTAGGTGTGCAATAAATATTTGTTGACTAAATTAATGAATATATATTTTCTCCTTTTATCACTTTACGACAAACCTCAGCTTTCTTTTTCACTAGTTTCTTCATTCTTGAATGGGAAAAGTAACCAATTTTTTTTGAACTTGTATGCAAGTTGCTTTACATATGCTCATTTACTCTTTCCAAGATTTCTGCTATAAATAGATGAGTAAAACTAGCTTAGGGGCAAACTTAAGTGCTACTTGCTCAGGACTCCTCAGTCACTGAGTAGTGGAATAGAATTATCTGATTCCCAGTTTTTGACTGGGGATAACTCCTTTTATAACTCCCATCTGTTGAGAATTGTGTCCTAATGTCTCAGAGGACTCTGAAAAGCAGTAAGGAAGATGTGACAATCTAGGCACCTCCAGCAGCTTGTTTGTCTATCTGGTGCTTCTCTTTCCTAGAACATATTTGTGTTGGCTTAACTTAAATTCCTACATTATTATTGCCTCAAAAATACTTTTTTCTGAAGTCTATACATGCTTCATTTCAGTTTCAGGAGAACTTTTCTTCTAGGTCACGACACTTAGAAATGATCCTGCCTAGAGAGGGGACCTTTGTACATGAATTTGTTTCCACATCTGGCATCCATTAGCCTTCTCATCAAGGCCGTGTTTGGTGCTGATTCTATCCACTGTCCAGATGTTTCTTTTACTTGTGGCTTAGCACAGGACATTTACACTTTGCCGTTTAGCATACATATGGGGTAATAACCTTGGGGAATTTCAAAAGCCCTGAACTGCAATTCCTGCGAAATGTAGCCAAAATTATCTCAGTAGTGTAGATGCTGAACTACCCAAGCATCCTTCTCACAGCCTACAAGTAACCCATTTCACCACGGGAGGGCTGCCACTTTATAGGACCTGTGGTGGGGCACACAAGATGTCACCCAAAGGATGGTGTTTCACATGACACCCAGAGGAAAGCTGAAGATCAG